>NC_000006.12:155979880-156131396 GCF_000001405.40 Homo sapiens | reverse complement strand
CAGTCCCCATGTGGTAAAGCTACTCTAGACAATGTTCTAGACCCGGTCTCTGTCACTGAACGCTATCTCTAACAAAGTTTGTGAAACCACAAATGTAACTATTAATAGAATCATAAATAAGATACATACTTGCCAAACTACTTCAGAAGGAAAAGCCAGAAAAATGTCTAACAGCAGACAACAAAAGAAATATCTGATGATGATAACAATAAAATGATAATAAGTCCACATGTATCATGCATGACAATAAGCAGAGGATAAAGATTGTTTTTAAGTAAAATCAAATCTCTCTATCACCTGGTTCCAAGTCACTCCTCAATAAATAACCAACAAAAAAAATGTTTACAATTAAATGTTTGTCAAATATATTTCAGGGAAACAATGAAGGAAAGCAATATGTGGCCGCAGAATTAACATCAGACAAAATAGAAATTAAGGCGCAATCATTAAACCAAAGAGGATTTTTTATTTTTATAAAAGATGCAATGAACTAGGAAAATGGTCTTTTAAGAGCTATCTACCTAAACTAAATACATCAACCAAAAGTTCTTAGAACAAAGGTAAATTGGTTGCAAGACTGCTGTGTGAGCCTTTAACACAATTTCCAAGCCTTCAAAGATCATGGAGATTAAAAAAGTAATAACGGCATCAAAAATTTGTAAGATATACTTAATGAGACTGAAATAATGATTGGAAATTAAGCTGAGAATACATATTCTTTTTGAAGGTTGATGAGTAGATTTTCAAAACTAAGTTACAAAAAATTACAAAATGCATAGGTTATATATTCTGACCTTTATTCATGGGGAAAACCCCACAAAATTAGAGCTGTGTGGTCACTGTAAATCACATTTTGATGATCTGTAAAAGTGCCCATGATATCATGTTAAGTAAAAAAGCATTGTGCAATATTATATATTTTATTCAAATTTCTCAAAATTCATAGAATGAAATACTTCATTTTCACAGTGGTTACCACTGGATGGTAAAATTAGAGATGATATACCTTTCCTACTTCTGTGTTTAATGAATTTTCGACAGTGAGTATGTATTGTATTCAGAATACATGAAAAACAATAATTGGTAATAAAATAAAAGCAGAAGACCAAACTGAAGGTACACTGTGAATCAATTTTGTAAGTGTATGAGTGTGTGTGTTTGTGCATATACATTTATAGAGCCAAAGGTTTAAAAGAAATGTACTAACATATTAACAGTGGTTATTTCAGAGTTATAATTTTCAGCTTCCCACATTTTCCACGATGAATATCCATCATCCTTATAAGTGGAAAAAATAAATATCAATATAAAATTAAGCCTTCAGGAAAGTCTTCCTCTCAAGATGGCATCAGGGTTCATGCTCCAGAGTATCCTTTCTTTCCCAATACTCAGCAATGCAAGTTAAAGCATTAAAAAAAGAAACATAGAAAATAAATAGCTGTGCTCAGAAAATTTAAGGGGCAGAGTGGGGTCGGCCTACCAGTCTGGAAGTCAGCAGAGGGGACTGGTGGCTGAGGGTTTAACTTCTGTGGGAAATGACATCTAAACATGCTCCTTGAGAGACAAGCCACATAAACCAGACTCATAAATTAAAACTTAGGGCTTGCACCTGTAATTCCAGCACCTCAGGAGGCCAAGGCAGGAGGATTGCTTGAGCCCAGAAGTTCCAGACCAGCTTGGAAACATACACCCATCTCTATGCAAAATTTAAAAAGTAGCCGAGCTTGGTAGTGCATGCCTGTAGTTCCAGCTACTCAGGAGGCTGAGATAAGAGGATCGCTTGATCCCGGGAGTTTAAGGCTGCAGTGAGCTATGATCACACCACTGCACTCCAGCCTGGGTGAGAGAGCAAGACCTTGTCTCAAATACCACCCCCTTGCAAAAAAAAAAAAAAAAAAAAAAAAAAAAAAAAAAAAAAAACCAAACAAACACAAACTTAGGGCTGGGTGGATCTGTTGCTGCCACTTGCTCCCATTCCCATGCCCAAGAGATGACTCTGGACAAAATGGTACCTGCCAAACTAGGATCTGGTGCCTGGCCCTATAGCACTAAGCAGCAGACTGCAGCAGGACCAGAGAGTGACCTTATGGCCAAGGAAAGAGTTGGGTGTTTGGCTGGACTGGAGACTGGATCTGGGATAGCCCCAGCATCACCCAGAAATTTCAAAAGAACTATCTGTGAGGTCGCAGGTGGGATGAGAGGAAGATGAGAAGTGACCAGAAAAGTTTCAGACAGGGAGTGGAGGAATGGGTAATAAAAAAGAAGAGAGGAGGAAAGAGAGAGAGAGAAGTGGGGTGGGGAAGGAGAAAGACTAACAGGTAACTTCCCACATAAAATTCCTAAGCACACGAGGAAATTCCATGTGAAGAAAGAGACCCAGTGAAAACAGCAACCAGAACGGGAAATTACTCGGGATGGTTTCTTGCAATGGAAGTAGAGAATTCGAACCAGCAGCTCAGGATCAGTCCTTTTCATTACTCACTAGAACTTCTTTAGAGAGTGATCGGGGTATATAAAAGGGCGTGGAGCCCAGACCAGACAATCTGCTTATCTAATGGCTGGTCTGGTGAAGTGTTTGGTGCAGAAACTACCATATATATATATATATATGTGTGTGTGTATATACATGTATATATATGTATATATATGTGTGTATATACACACATATATGTATGTACACACATATATATATGGTTTTTATCTTTATAAGCTCTCTCTCCTGTTAGGGGTTATACTCAATGGTAATTAGCAAAGGAAAAATGAACGCTACAGGTTTAGCGATCATATGTCTCAAAAAGACATTCATGTTCTTATAAGATGTTTGGTGGCCTAATAATTTTGTAAAACTCAGAGATCCCAATATGATACTAGAGTTGGGTGTTGAGTGCTCCACAGAGCCTGCATAACGGGGGTCCGTGTGGGTGTGGACTCCACAGGTAAGAAAGCTGGGATGTTTCCAAGTGCTTCTAAGAGAGCTGGTTGAATAGTACTGGACAATAATCTCACCCAGCTGCGGCACTGCTGGGCCCTCCGTGGCTTCCTTCTGCATGCGGACCTCACTTCCCACCTCCCCTCCACCTTCTTCGCCTTCTCTACCCCCATCCCTGCCATCTCTATTAGCAATTCTGCTTGTTGCGGCTGTGGCTGTTGCTTTCCTGTCCCTTATGCCCCCGAACTGATGCCTTCCATTAACAGCTCCTTTCAGGAGCTTCTGTACCAGAGCCCAGCTAGGGATGGTTTTAGAGGCTCTCCCTGAGCTGCTCTCCTAAACCTATGTGTAATGCTCACCGTTGCCTTTCTCATACCACCAATGCCAGAGACCCTTTGCAGGGGTCAGTTAGGATGGAGTTTCCCCCCTCCTTTATGGGACCTTAATCTAGCTAGAAGAGGACCTAATCACCAGTCCAGAGGATCGCTGGTAGAATCCCACAACAGAGCTCGGAGCCCTTAGGAATAGAAAAACCCTTGTCCCGGACATGACTACATATCTCAAGGCTCAAAGGAAGACCTTTGCCACATTGCTCAGAAAAGTGTGTGCAGCTGTTTCCCCCTCCAGTGAGGACAGAACAAAGAAGAAAGGGGCTAACCTGCAGCCCAAAGAATTCCAGTTAGACTGTAAGCAACACTTTGCTACTACTACTGAAGATGGATAATCGTTAGAATTCCAGCAAGGGACAGTGTTTTGTTGTTGTTGTTGTTTGAGACAGAGTCTTGCTCTGTAGCCCAGGCTGAATTGCAGTGGTGCAATCTTGGCTTACTGCAACCTCCGCTTCCCCAGTCCTGGTTCAAGCAATTCTCCTGCCTCAGCCTTCCGAGTAGCTGGGATTACAGGCCTACACCACCATGCCCAGCTAATTTTTTTATTTTTAGTAGAGTCGAGGTTTCACCATGTTGGCCAGGCTGGACTTGAACTATTGACCTCGTGATCTGCTTGCCTTGGCCTCCCAAAGTCCTGGGATTACAGGCATGAGCCACCATGCCTGGCCAGAGGGAGAGTTTTTTTTAAGTTCCATAGGCTCATCAACAAACAATGATCATGCTCCAGGCAGTCTCCTAGAAGGCGGGGACACAGAGAAATCAGAGAAAATCGTTGGGCTTATGTGGTGGTTGGGTCATGCTTCGTCTACAGCAGGTTTCTCAGCCTCTTTGCTACTGACACTGGGACCAGATGATTCTTTGTTGGGGGGCCGTCCCATACATTTCAGGGTGTTAAGCAGTATCCCTGGGCTTCTACTTACTGCATGATGGTAGCAGCCTCTCCCCCAAGTTGTGACAACTGAAAATGTCTCCAGACATTGCTAAGTGTCCCCTGGGGGCAAGAGTGGGGGTAAAATTGTCCAAGGTTCAGAACCAATAGTCTAAGGATGAATTAAGACCAATGAACCCCATTTTTTATTTGAGGCAATGTTATGGCAGAAATAATTCTCTTCATAATGGTTTTATATTGAACTGATCAACTAAATGGAGAAAAGAAAATGAAGCAGAGGCGGTACCCTAGTGGAACCCTGTAGTTAGAATCCCGTCAGACAGGTTTAGTCGACCCCTCCATTAAGAAGATGAAACAAGGGCTACAATCACTCACTGGGGATAGAAAAGGAGCCTGTGAAGATCAATGGCATCCAATGTAGCATTAAGGCCCAAGAAGGCAAGCCGTGAAAACAAGTCCTAACTGGCATAAAATAAAAGGTTTTTAACCACATGGAGCAAATCAGTCTCTGGGCTGTGCCAAGAAGGAATCTGGAAGGGACACAATTATGGAGATTACGACTAGAGAGATGATTAGAGACTTGGGGAATTCTTTTTTCAAGGACTTGCTAAGGAAATGGGACTGTAATTAGAAAGGGAAGCAGGCTTTCTCTCTGCCTCTCTCTCTTTCTCTCTCTCTCTCTTAGGTGAACTAAAAAGCTTCGGTAAATACATAACAAGAATCTACGAATCTTCCAAATCAGTGGGAAAATGTTCTAACTTCAAAAATCACTAATGAATACGTCCTAAAGCAAAGTAAAACTGCATTTGCAAATCAGTCTCCTAGTTACCTGTCAAGTCGGGAGCGTCAGGATTTTTAGGTATGTCCTGAAGCAGCAGATGACAAGCTATTGAAGTAAAAATTCTGAATAAAATTAGGGCAGCCCATTAGTCCAAACAGGGGGACACACCGTAAAAGACTTACTGGATTTGTGAACTGAGATTTTTATGTGTGTGTGTGTGTGTGTGTGTGTGTGTGTGACTGATATTCTTACTTTGAAAGTGTGGAAAGTAATTTTTTGCCTTTTTGGCGAGGGGGATAAAAACCCAAACTGAGATCTGAGGTTTTTATAGTTTGGCAAATTTCAGAGATATGAAAGCAGAATTTTTGGCACTCAGGGACTGAGAGGCAAATGACATCATATGGCTTAAGGGAAATAGAGAGCTAAAAAAGTACATTTGGAAAATTTCAGTAGCTGCCTGCCACTGAAATCATTTTGAATTTTTTTCCCAGTGAATTTAGTTGTCACAAAAGGCACTGGATTGATGACCCTGCAAAGAAAAAATGGCAAGTCTCAGGTCTCTCTTAAGGGCCCCCAGGGTTAGAAGGCAAGGAGTTGTGTTGTCATAGTTGGCTTTCAGGAAGTGACTCCCTGAATTGGTGACACATTGGGAGTGAGTTAAAGGACCCAGCTATGTTCCTATTGGCTTGTAGAGAGGAAAGAGAGCTAGCTGTCACTCCGTAGTCCCGGTTTCTTGATCCTGGTGGCATCCCAAGTATGATTTGAGGGATTATATATTTGGAAGCTCAAGGTAGTCATCCCAAAGCTTCTCTTTGGGATGTTTCCTGCATCCCCCTAAGAGGAGTTCACGGAAATAACATCATATTCAGTAAATGGCAGACTAATTCAAAGACAGGATTAGATGGAGAAAAGACAAGAGGCAAAAACATTTTCCCTTCAAACCATTACTGATCACATTCATCACCCCTAGGGTGGGTTAGAGGAAATGAATGGGCAAAGGGGATGTATCAAGAGTTACCCTGGAACAAGGACGGGAGGACTACACTGAGTGGAATTGTTCCTGGCTCTTCTTTTTCTCTGTTCTCCCCAAGCATGTTTATTTTCAGCAGCTGTCCTAGAGTTCATGGCTTTGCAGAGAGATGGCAAATGAAGTTATATAAAAAACATTTTAAAATGGAAAAATATTAAAATAGGATAAAAAGAAAAAAGATAGAAAGTGTACTTAGTGCGGCAAATACACACTCAGAAATAGGAAAACACAAATGAAAGGCACTAAAATAAAAATCAGGACGAGTGACATTTAGTGATGTTGGGTAAAGTCTTTTCCGTGTTCTGGTGTTATTGTATTCAATTCTCCAGGCCCAACCTTGGCCTGCTCAGTAAATTAACATGAGTGTCAGTCGTGGACTTGCAAAACTAGGACTGAGTAATGTGGTGTGCTCATCAATATATAATGTCCATCAATTTCCTACTTGTCTTCAAATCTTGATTCAAAACTTTCACTTCCTCCCCGATTGGCTGTTATAGTGCTGGGTTTCCCATAGGGTTAGAGAAAGCCTTTGTGTTTCCCATGACTACATGAGGAAATATGGTAAACTTTTACCTCTGAAATAATCTACTCAGAAATCCTGCTTTCTGATTGTGGGCCCCATAGGGCCTTCCCTCCAATGTTCTCCTCCCACCCACTGGTTCCGGGGTCTTACTCAAACTGGGAGAATAGAGAAGTTCTGAGCAATGGAACCCACTAGCTCTCTTCTTGTTTTCCTTCTCTGCTACCTTGAAATTCCATGGGTAAATAATTCTACCTACTTCCTGGCCTCTGATTTACCAGCTTGGCTTTTGTTTTGTTTAGTTTTGTTTCTTTCCCATCCTTCACTCTTTTGCAGGCTCATCCTGCATTTGTGGACTCTCAATCCTATCTTCTTTTGTTTCCCCAAAGTCTCTGCTACATCAATTATTACCTCTTTTTCTTAAATCTTCAATTACTCTTTGTGTACACTGGCTCCTTCCCCCTCCGGCTATAAACACACTTAGATCTCCCTCATCTTAGGAGAAAAACCTATCCTACAAAAACCTCTGTGTCTCCCTCAACTATTATCCTTTTCAAACTCCCTCTAAAACAAATGCCTCTATTTCTTGAGCTACACTTGACTCATCAACACGATCGGATTCCGCCACTGCCATGCCCCCACCCCACTAGAAATTGCTTTGGGAAAGGCCAACAATGATCAGCTCCTAATTGCCAGATCAAATCACTTGCTTTCACCTTCTTCAGTCCTGGCCTCGCTATAGTCTGACACCAGTATTAACTTTTCCTCCTTGACACTCTGGTTTTCTGCTGGCTTACATCTGACTTCTTTGATACTCATTTTATCTTCACTGGCTCTTTTCGCTTTATCCTCTACTTAAATGTGGACACTCCCCTTGAAGTCCCCCACCCTGCTTCTCTCCCCATTCTGTGCGCTTTCTCTGGGCAGTTTTGTCTATGCTCATGACTTCATCCATGCCTTCTCCACGGATGACTTTCCAACCATATTTCTAGTCCTGACCTCATGCCTGAACTCCTCTCTAGTATTTCCAGTTGTGTTCTGGTATTTCACATTCAAGCTGTCAAAAACTGAACTCGTTATCCCCAAAATCTGGCATGGTGCATGGCACAGACAGCCCTGCTGAAGCAGAAGAAGAGAGTTTCAGGCAGGTCAGAACATGGAGTTTTCAGGCCAGGTCACATCTGCATTCTCCCCTTTCCCATGGAGACCTCAAAGTCTGGCATACGCACACGGTCATTCCCATCCTGACTTACCTTCACATCATCTGCCCATTCTGTAATTACAGAAAACAGAGAAGACATGAATTCGTATTCGTGTATCTAACAAGTGTGTTGGCCAGCTTTGCAGTAGGACCAGAAGGCCTTGAACAGCCTGACTTTTGGGCCAGCACAGAATCACTCGATGTTTCAGTATTAACTCTAGCTAGGTACCTTAATCTTTACTTGTGACTTCCCTGCAAAGAGGTAATATGCACATCCTAGAAATTTTCCTCTGTAATTCTGCTATGGATGTAGTGCAGATAGGTAGTACCCTGTGTCGAGGCTTAGGCTCTGCTAATCTATTGGTACAACATGTATTTTTCAAGTAATTTCATGCAGGTTCATCACTCCTTCTGGTAGACACTGAAAATTCACCCATTACCCAAGACTTTAGGAGGCAGAGAGGGCACTGTCAGCAGATGGTATTATCTGTCTCAACAGATGAGAGCCCAGAGAGAAAAGTGGTAGAAAGGTGTCTTGGGGGTAAAGGCCATGGAGGCTCTCCACAGTCTTTTCTAAAATGCCAGTATGCCCATCATGGAGCTATTATCACAGCTCGAGTTCATCCTCACATCTTGAGCTGTTACCTACGTCTATTACAAGTTAGCATCGGCAGTGGTTAGCTGATGTCACGTGAAGCATTTCATAGGTTCTTTGGTGGTAGAATGATACCTAAAAGAGACAGGGAGTCCTGGACCAGTGAAAGGAAAAATGAAGAATATGAGGCATTGAGGGACACAAAGAAAAACAAACCCTCCTGCACCAAGATTCTTAGGGTCAGCAGAGCCACCCCAAGATTCCTGACTCCTGCTTGCTGTGGTGACATAGATAGCCAAGGAGCACCAGGAGATCCGAGTGTCATTGTTCACCTCGGGGGCAACATTCTCTTTCATTTGATAAGAATGGTGCTTCAAATAAGGGAAAATTTGAAAAATTCACCCTCTTTTTGGTTTTGCATATCATCAGGTCTGATAATGATTGAAATATATGTGGGTCATATTGACATTAGTCATTCTCATGGTTTTGTATTGGAAGCTGGTGTCCACATGGGTATGGTTCACCTATGGAAGGAGGTGGGTATTGGAGTTGTTCTAAGAATACAGAGCCCTCTCTGTCCTGATGGGAAAACAGTTCAAAGAAGGATAAACTATAGGATGATGGCCAACGTGATGTCTTTCTGTCTTTAATATTTTTATCTGGACCCACATTTGAAGGTGTGTTTAAGGACACCCACAGAAAGAAGATGTCCCACGTAGGGGTATATGCATGCTGCTCTGCGGGGGCTGAGCTGGGACTGGAGGGGGGAGGTAAGCTCTACTCACGTGCTGGAGGACTCCTGGTGGGACACAGGGAGCCGCATACAGTTCTCCTGCAGTGTGCCAGTCTGGAAGCTTTCAGGTCTTTTGGACTTGATGATTTATCTTACACTGACTCAGTCAATGCAGATGAGAAAGTCCCATGAGACAATTATGTCACCAAAATCTCTGTCCTCAGCTATTATTGCTTTAATTGTATCTGCTCTGTAAGGCCTTGGAATTGACACAGCCCAATCAATAACACTACTTGTGAGTGAGGAACCGTTCTTGGTGACACTGCTGCAGTATTTCAGATTTACGGATATTTTCTCATTCAATTAAGAAGATGGAGAGCATTCAACCACTGCTGGTCAGAGACCTAGAATTCCTGTAACAAACTTCTGCCCTACCAAATTTGGCTGCAGAATTACTTTATAAGAGGAAATTTGGGCCTTGTCCCCTGACTTGAAGGCCAGTGTTTGAAATATGCAAAGGAACTATATGTGATACAGAACAGAGTGTCCTTCCTCCTTGCTGGGAAGAGGTTGTCCCTGTCCAAGTTCTCCTTACAATGTTGCTTCTATCAGGGGAACAGTTGTTCATTGATGCTGTCTCTTAATATCATAGAGCTTCTATCCACAACATAGGAGAGGTGATTATCAAAGGTGTGCCATCCCTTAACACAGCCTAAAAGTTTTAGTGCATATATAGAAAACAATGTGGATTCCTGGATACAAACTCTCACAGCCCACTGTGGACAGAGTAGCCCCCAGTGCTAGGTCAGGCATTGGGCTGTATGTAGAGACTCCAACAGGCAGAGGGCAGGGGCAACTCACATACCCAGGGCTCAAAGGCAGTAATCATTAAAAAATTGATTCTGCTAAGGAATAATCTGTATACAATTAAGTGTACAAATATTTAGTGTATAGCTTGATGAATTCCCTCCCTACACACACAAATGAGGTTATAAAATCCTACCTCCTTCCAGTAGACACCTCCTAAAGCTTACCATTATTTTGACTCTTATTACCATAGATTAGTTTTGCCTGTTTTTAAATTCTTTTATATTTTGGCTTATTTTTTGGCTCAGCATTATAAGATTCATTCATGATGCTGTGTATTGTATAAGTTTGTTCTTTATTGTTGCTGTTTAGTTATTCCATTGTATAAATACACCAGATTATGTTTACCTATTTTACTGTTGATGGATAGTTTAATTGTTTTCAATCTTGGCTTTCATGAAGAAACTGCTATGAATATTCTTATACCAGTCTTGTACACTGTCAAAAAGTTTTCCAGTGTGTGTACTAATTTACCTTTCTACCACCAATGGAGAAGAGATCCAGATGTTCTACATTTTCACCATTACTTAGTATGTTCAGTCTTTTAAATTTGGGCCGTTCTGGCAAGTGTGTAGTGGTATCTCATTGTGGTTTTAATTTGCATTTTCCTGATAAATATACACATCTTCCATTAAGCATCTTTTCATGTGCTTATTGGCCATTTGGATAGCTTTTCTATGGAGTACTTCAAGTATTTTGCTCATTTTGAAAAATCAGTTGCCTCAGAAGTGCTGTCTTGAAGATTCTGTCTTGTGGACACTGATAGTTATGCCTAATTCCAACCTTCCAGTATTGAAGTCCAAAGGAGGCAAGGAGAGGCCAAGGGGAAATGGAGATTCCCAACATCAGATTGATCCGATGGGAAGGTACATTTTCCATGAAGCCTTCCCTAAACCCTCATACTCCATGTTCCTTTAAGTCTTAAGGTGTCTTGTGTTCACTTCTATTTGCCCCCAATCACATTATATTGCAGTTGGTGTCATGCCAGTCTCTTCACTAGACCATGAACTTCTTGAGAACGAGAGTCTTCTCATCTAGGTGTCCTCAGCAACCAACTCAGGCCCTGGCTCTGAGTTGGGGATCAACTCATGGTCTACTTAGACATTGCTCAAGAAATATGTACTAAGAAAATAAATGGATGGATGTATTTTAAGCATATATATGATATGACCAGACTTGCGTTTTAAATAGGTAACTCTGGCAGCAGAATAGAGAGAGAGGCTGGAGACTGCAAATCTTAAGTGGCAATTTCTATTGCCCTGGTTTAGACAGAAAATCCAGAGAAAATATGCTGAGCAATCACAGAAAAGTCCTGCATGTGTCTTTCTTCTATAGCCAAGAGATGCACAATGAAGCCCAAGGCAATGATGGGGTCAAATTTTGTTAGTGAATTTAACGAATCTGATGCAGTGATAGATGACAATACAAGACAACAAAAAAGATATGTCACACAGCCCTAGATGCCAGTTGAATAGTACTGACAGTAAGTGCTAAGAGTTTAGAGGAGGTAGCAATTACTGTGAGCCACATTGATCAGTATTTTACTAGTAAGATTTTCCCCTAATATTAAGATGTTAACTGATATGCTTTTGATTTATTATTTATTTATTTAAAAAAAGTTTTTTGAGATGGAGTCTCGCTCTGTTGCCCAGGCTGGAGTGCCGTGGCACGATCTCAGCTCACTGCAACCTCTGCCTCCTGGGTTCAAGTGATTCTCCTGCCTCAGCCTCCCAAGTAGCTGCAATTACAGGCGAGCATCACCACCCCTGGCTAATTTTTGTACATTTAGTAGAAATGGAGTTTCACCATGTTGCCCAGGCTGGTCTTGAACTCCTGACCTCAGGTGATCCACCCACTTTGGCCTCCCAAAGTGCTAGGATTACAGGTGTAAGCCACCGTGCCTGGCCCTGAAATACTTTAAAAAAAAATTATGATGATAGAAATATTATTGCAAATGTGCAATTAGGGTAAATTGAATAAGAAAATACAAAAATAATGAAACTTGCTGTTTTGACTCTCTCAGGCCCAGAATCAGTACTGAGGAGGCAGACATAAGTGAAGGTATTGGAGCTACAAGGATCAGCTGAGCTCAGAATAGCGCCACTGAGCTCAGAATAGCGGCGGCTCCATAGGCCACTGCAAATTGCAGGCTCTTGGACAAAGATGAAGCCACCAGTCCTTCATAGCAGGCCCTGCCTCTGCATCCATGCTGTGCTCTGCTCCAGCCAAGAAGATGCACTGCAGGCCTCTAACAAAACCAACCTCAGGCTTTATGGGGATTTTATAGACGGAGAAATATATGACTTAGAAATCCCGAGATTAAATTTTTAGTTCAGAATTGACAAGAATCAAACAACTCCACAAAGTTTTTTTTTTAAAAGATAATTTTTAAAATTGCAGTAAGATATACATAACATAACCATTTTAACCACCTTCACAGGTCAGTGGCATTAAGTCCATTCACATCGTTGTGCAACCATCACCACCATCCATCCCCAGAACTTCTTCATCTTCCCAAAATGAAATTGTATATCCAATAAACTATAACTTCGCATTCCCTTCCTCCCTCAGCTCTTGGCAACCACTATTCTACTTTCTGTCTTTATGAATTTGACTACTCTAGGTACTTTATATAAGTGGAATCATACAGTGTTTGTGTTTTTTGACTGGCTTATTTCACTTGGAGTGATGTCCTCAAGGTTCATCCAGGTTGTAGCATGTGTCAGAATTTTCTTCCTTTTTAAAGGCTGAATAATATTCCATTGTACACATATACCACATTTAATTTTGTAAAATGAATTGTGCCTACTTCTTTAAAGTGAATGTGGGCATTTTTTTGTATTTTTATATATTATCATTAGAAGAAATAAAGTAGGGAGGAAAGAGAAGTAACGTTTATTGAGAAACTACTATGTGCCTGGCACTGGGCAACATTCTTTAGATACTATAACCATTTATGTCTCACAACAGCCCTGTGAAGTAGACATTATTACACCAACATTCAGGTGGGAAGGGTGGAGGGGCTTGTACCCGAGCTTCTCTCTCTGCAAGACCCATTCATGTTTTCCCTGTGCATGGGGGCAAATTCTAGACAAAGCTGACACTGTGCTACTTTGAAATGCATTAAGTTTATCTTTGGTTATATTCCTTATACTTTTACCATCTTCTCCTCACTTTCAATACCCTTTCCTCCACCCCCAGGTAATCCATCATGAGGTAGCTCTGGTTCTAGTATTATTAAAGAGGAATTGCTTTCTTTTATTGAAAAAGCGCATAGCTGAATAAGGAAAACCATCTGACTATTTCAATAGATACTGAAAAGCATTTTAATTCTTCACCTTCATTATTTTAAAATTTAAAAAGTTCAAACATTTAGCAAACTGCATGATGATAAGCTCAAGTTCTTCATCTATGAAGTGAGAACTCAATCTCTCCAAGTCATAAACTTATCTTCTCTCTCTGTTCAACCCAGTGCTTGATATTTATAAATTACATTGTCATTTATTTCCATTATGTTTTACAATCCTGGAAGGCACGTCAGTGATGGGAATACTTGCTTATAGAGAAGAAAGCTTGTCTTTGGTGCCTGGTGGCTGGCACTGTAGACTAGCTGTAAGAAAATCCACACTTGAACTCAGTTCTTGACAGAACAGCTAAGCCATAGGAACACTGCTGATGGATAGAGTAATTCAGTTTTGATGTGGGGGTCTTCTGGCTGACTTGGGGTCTGTCATACAGCCTTGCCCTATGCGATTGTTTTTGTTAATTACTTGGACAAGGACTCTGATAACTAAGCAATCAAATGTATATATGATATGTAGATGGAAAGAATAACAAAAACAGGATCCCAAAATATTTTTATACTCTGGAAACATGGCCTGAATCTTAAAAATATTAAATACGTGTTAGCTGTGGTATTTGAATACAAACTACCAGCTTTTTAAGCAGAGATATAGAAGTGAATTAGTCAGGATTCCTGGGGTTGCCAGTGACAGAAACCTAACTTTCATTGTTTAAACACAAAAGAGGGGGTTTGGGCTATTGTAAGCAAATCGTGGGGTCCTCAGAACTTGAGTGCTTTTGGAAATCTCTCAATTTGTCTTGTTTCTGATTCTCCTTGTGCATTTTTTAGTTTCTCTACATGGGAGGAGCTCTGGTCTCTAACAACTCTTGAACTTATGTATTTCTAGTTTAGTCAACAAAAAGGAAAGAATTTTCTTGCCTCAGTCAGAAAAAAAGTTTCTTAGGAGGATTTTACTTGGCCTGGATTAAGTACCACTCTAGGCCAAATGGAATAGCCATGGAGGTTAGTATGTAAAAAGCAGTCACCTCCCATGTGAATGACATGGTTAGACAATTTTCTAGAATGAGAGGAGGCGTTAGATGGAGCACCAACAACAAGAGAGATTTGGATTGTTTATTGACTCTAAAGATGGTAAGAGTTGAGGGCAATATGGGGTTGTAATAAAAGCTAGAAGTTTGCCTTGATGGAACTAGAGTATCCAGAGTGAGGACATGATGGCTGTGTCTATTCCTCATTCTTTGGGTCATTCCTGAAGTATCGTATCTGGTTCTGGTCATAATGCTTGAAAACAAAACAAACACATTAGAAATATGAGAGTTTCCAAAAAGGTGAAAAAATGCAAAATTTTATTATGAGCACAAAATGATGACGGATTAGGCACGTTTAACCCGAAGGAGAGGATGCATATGGAGACACGATAGGTGTCTACCATGTATTTGGGGAAGTTTTCTGTGGAAATAGGATTGAATTTGACTTATCCTACTTTAGTGGGTCAAGCTGGCTCCAATGCCACTTGTGACAGACATGTCACTAGCAAGCCCTGGTGTGCAGACGAGGACCAGGCCACTGATAGCTGTGGCATGTTTAGCATCTTGACTAATACATCTCATGCGAACACGTGAGTATTTCATAAGATTGTGTTAAAGATTCCAGGAGGTAAAGAATCAAATGCTGCTTCCAGGATGCCTGCCATATTATGGTGGCTCCATACATGGTAGCATTGACATTAGCAGAATTTGCATTCACATAAGGAAGACAGTGTCAACAAATAATGGGATCCAACCGCAGATGAGAGTCTTTACAGATACTGAGCTTGCTGTCACTGGAGGTGTTTAAGCAAATGCCTAAAACCCACTTTGTGGAATGCATTCAAACATTGCGTCTGGACTAGGTGGCTTTCAGGATCCCATCTGAGTTACAGCCAGTGATTCTAGATTCTTATCCATTTCTTAACTCCTTAAACTATTTTTCAAATCCATATTCATAATTTATCTGTTTTTAAAAATTTAACAAGTAACAGTTTTAGTGATAATTATTGCATTTCTATATTTATAGATAACTGGCACATATGGAGGTGGAATAGCACAATTTGATATTTTCTCATGTGCCAGATTTTTTTTAATAAATATAGAAAATCCTATAGTTATGAAAACTATTTGTTAAAATTAAATGTATATGCAACTGGGCATCTGTTCTGATATATCAGATCTCTCGAGAGCTAGTTTTCCTGTTGCTGTTGGATGGCACCCAGTATTAGCCCAGAGCTTAAGGGCCTTAAGTCTCAGAGTACCCAAATGAAACCTGAAAAAACTTTACAAATTTCTGAACATAATGCACTTCTACTCATTCTGGTTAAAATTCAACTATCTATAAAAATAGAAAAATATCTCCTCCCCTCTGAAAAGCAACAGTGGGTTTTTTTTCTCCCTCAATGTTAAGAATTCCAAGTAGACTACATGATACAATAAAAAGACTACATTTTAGGGCCAACTAGACTTGAGCATAAATTCTGCCTCTCTCTCTTTCTACCTGTGTGGTCTTGGGCAAGTTGTTTAATACCTTTGAGCTTTCTTATCCCACCTATAAAAGGAAGAGAGTAATGTCTACCTTTTAGGTGTGTTGTGAGGGTAAAATAACATGAAATGCCCTGCGCACAGTAGACAGTTAAAAAAATATTGATTCTCTCTTGGATATGTTTGAGACTGTGCATTTTGGACATAACAAAGGGATTGTATTGATGCTAGGAATAGCTCTTAAAGTAATATCTACCATTGATTGGGTGTTTCCTGTGTGTTGGGTACCAGATTAAACATTTAAAATACATCATCTCTTTTAGTCTTATCAATAGTTGCATGGGAAACATGGCAGCAAGACAGTTTTACAAGTAAGAACTGACACTTAACAGAAGTTAACTTCTCAAGGTCCTGTACTTTGCAAGTTGCAGAACTGGGTCTCTTACCCAGGGCAGGCAGATTCAGGAGCCTTAGTTTTTAACTCTTACTCTACATTGCTTAGCTGATACTCTAAAAGAATCTTTTAAAGAATGAAAGCAATGTTAATGGTGTTTTGCACTTAGTGTAGATGATATTGTCATTTTCATTTGACTCAGGTGAGATGGTTTTTCTCTTATGTGGCTGAATTTTCATGACCTGCTAACTTTTTGTAGTGGCAATGCCCACAGGTTTTGATGGGTAGAGCTATGACTGGGGACTCCTTGCATTCTATTTATTGTTCTCAGATTATTAATTTGCAGGTGGCGATAGTCCAGGCAATATGATCTAGATAAAATTATGGATTAGTGAGATTGATCTCTTGTTTCCCTTTACTTGGGGGAACTCCATTGTGGGTCTGTCATGCTCTCCATCTGCATCAGTGGTCAGGTACAGCTGCTGCCATTCCCATTAGCATGCCTGGGGACAGTCTCCTCACACCACAGCAAAGCATCTGGTTCTTAATGCCTGGTGGCCTCTCGTGACCCTGAGAGCTTCCTGATGTGGTTGGAATACCTGTTCTTTCTATTTAGAAGGACACAGCTCTTACCTTTCACTGAATGTCAGTGTTTAATTTGCGAGCTTCCAATTTAGGCTTATTTTTGAGAATTCAAATCTCCTTTAAGGCAAATTAGGTTAAACTGTGTGCAATGTGGGAGCTACTTGACCTTGAATCATTTTCTTTTTCCTTTTTGAAAGAGAGATAACAAAGGGGTTGGCAGATGAGATTTAACATGCTCTGGAGAGAGCAGACAGAGCTTATGAGCATAAACCTATAGTTCAGGGAACAAGTAAATAAGCCAGAGACCAAGGATGTCATCTTCAGAAGGGAAACAATCCATACCTTTCTTGATGATTATATCTAGTGCCATACAAATTCTGTAGCATGTATTTTATTTTTTAATGGTTTCCCATACAAAGGTTATTGATATTTAACAGATTCTAAACAAAATTTAGGTAGACAATATTAAAAATATAAACAGAAATTCAAGAATATCAAGTCTAAGATTTTATTTAAATACAATAGTACATATTTTCTTTTTCAGTTCAATAAAAGTTTTCCATATACCCATAAAGAAGAAGCAGTTCTTAGGTACAGTGTTCCCTTATCTCTGATGTCTCCAGATGGTCTGTAAAGAGAGCCACTTGGCATTTCATTCCTAAACAAATTGTAGACCCATTGCAAGAGAACAGAGAGACTCAGTTGAAAAGGCATGCATGATTTGACAATTATCTAGGGCAGTGGGTCTCAAATTTAACACATCTCAAATCCCCTGGGAGATTTATTAAAACAGATTGCTGAACCCACGCTCTGAGTCTCAGACACAGTTAAGTCTGGGTGGTACCCAATAATTTGCATTTCTAATACATTCCCAGCTGAGGCGGATACTTCCATTCTCAGATCCTTGATCTACAGCAGATCTGTGCACTAGAAATACAACGTGAGGCACAGAGGTAATTTTAAATTTTCTAGTAGCCTCATAAGGAAGTGAAGAGGAATAAGTCATATTAATTATAATAATACATTTTCTTTAACCTAAAATATCCAAAATAATATCATTTCAACAGTCATTATAAAAATTATTAATGAGGTATTTTACATTCATTTTTATATTAAGTGTTTGAAATCCGGAGCATATTTTCTGCTTGTGGTACATTCTAGTGTGTGCCAATTAAGACTAGTCCCTTTCCAAGTGCTTCATGGCCATGCATGGCTACCAGTGATTGTATTAGAAAGTGGGGAACAAATATTCTAACAAATTACATTGCAGAGAAAGGGCTTAGAGATATTGTCAGCAGGTTTCAACCTTGGCTTCACATCAGAATCACTTGGGAGACTTAAAACATACCAGCGCCGGCTGGGCGCGTTGGCTCACGCCTGTAATCCCACCACTTTGGGAGGCCGAGGCAGGTGGATCACGAGGCCAGGAGATTGAGACCATCCTGGCTAACGTGGTGAAACCCCGTCTCTACTAAAAATACAAAAAATTAGCCAGGCGTGGTGGCGGGCGCCTGTAGTCCCAGCTACTCGGGAGGCTGAGGCAGGAGAATGGCGTGAACCCGGGAGGCGGAGCTTGCAGTGAGCCGAGATTGCACCACTGCACTCCAGCCTGGGCGACAGAGCGAGACTCTGTCTCAAAAAAAACAAAAACAAAAACAAACAAAAAAAAACCCATACCAGTGCCTAGGTCCCACTCCCAGACAATCTTATTTAATTGGTCTGGAGTGGGGTGTGGCCAATAGTCTTTTAAAAAATCTTCCCAGCCAGGTATAAAGTGCAGTCAGTTTGAGAATCACTGAGGTAGACAAAAGCCCAGCTGAAGTAGGATCCACCTATATATGTGTAATCCACTTACACATGTGCCCTTGGTAAAAGGAGAAAAATAAGGAATACTAATACCAGTAAGATACCTACTACAGTCATGTTCAAAGAGATTGCTTACTCCTTACCACCCTGGGAAACAAATACTGCTATTTTGCAGAAAGTGTAGTTGAAACTCAGAAAGATCAAGTGGGTCAGCCAACTTCAGCTGTGCTGCAACAAAGACACACAGTGACATGCAGATAAAACAACTAATTTCAAGACCTGCCTTGTATAGTATCATCTGTCTGACTTGTTATTTAATTCTCATTCAACTGTTTCTGCAACTAGAACTGTGGGTACACCCTCCCTTACCTACTTGTTTAATTGAAGACAATCTCCTCACTTTTAGAGAAATACAGAAACATAAGTTTTATTAATACAAAGCAGATACAGCCAGTGGCTTCTTCCCACAGAAGATCTAGATCACTTTCCAAATGTTTGGGGGTAGTGAAGAACAAGATGATGAAAACTGGCAGAATGTTTTCTCTTGCTAGTCTGTTTTAAAGGGAATTTCCTCTGGGTCATCGTTTATATTTGATTCTTTGAGTTGAAAAATATGTCCATTTGATATCTGAGAAACTCTTTTAGCCCTGACGTTTGCACTTTAAAGCTTATCTTCTTAGAACTTGCCAGCCAAGTAGTGCGAGGGAGCACAGGATAGCAGACGGCATGGTGTGCGGGTGGAATCCGGCAGCCTGGCGGAAGAGCAGATGGAGGCACCCAGATGCAGCCCTCCCTGGCTGTCAGGGCCAGGGGCAGAAGGCCCTTGGCTCGCCAGGAGCTGCTGTTCCACATCCTCATATCGACTTACTATGAACTCTCCGGAATTAAAATGTTTGTCTGAGGCCCTTGTAATTTTCTATTGTGTGGAATGTAATGTATTTAATATATGGCTTGAATTTCAAAACTCAAAGGCCTTAAACCTCTTTTTTGGCCTCACCTCACTCTCTTCTCTTTAGTCTTTTTGAAGCTAAGAATTATAATTCCACTCCAAATATCTCACCTACCGTGTTTGTTGTAGCCCACCTTTCATGCACTTCAAAATCATTAAACAAAGTAAGACTCTGGGTCTCTCATTGATCTGTCTTGAATTTCTCCGGTAACATTAATGATATAAGGAGATCTACCAGTTAAGCTAATTAGTTATGTTTTTATGCTGTATAGGCCATGAGTGTAACCTTGGAATCCACTGCCGAGAGCCCTGGCCCCAAAGTATTTCCTTGGAAACTTCAACTTTTGAATGCCTCTAAAAAAAAATCCAATAAAACCCCTATTCAAATCTATGTCACTGCTTCTTGAAATGTGGTGACTGTTGGTTTGATTAAAGGCATTTTATCCATCTTTTATTCACTTATTAGCAAATGGTCTTCATGGTGAATCCAAATACATGATGGAGAGGAAGGAATTTTGAAGGATACTAGTATGCCCATTTAGACAATTTATACTAGATGCGCTTCAAGAAAGAAGGAGAACACTCCATGTCATAGAGAATTGGGAATAAAATTGGATAGTTAGGCCTGGTTGAATTAGGTATACCCATACACTTTGGCAAAATAATTTGCTCCCAAGACTTTGCTCCTGATAAGAAAAGGGTGTTGTAATAATTTTCTCAGCAGGGGAGTTATGGAACTGATGTTGAGTTGTTCATCAAGGACTGCTTGGCTGCGGTTGGGGGAAGGTGTTTTGGCTGCCCTCAAAGTGATTTTGTCCTACCACGAATCACCCCAAATAACAGATAAATACAGAAGTCCCCTAAGTCTCTTCCAGCTAGAGTAGAATTTCCTCCTATATAATAGTATAGTAACTGTGATTCCTCCTGAGGTCTCTGTTTCATTCCACTGGGGCCTCAGAAGCTGAAGACAATATAATAGGTATCAAGTATCTCCCGGTATAAAGCTACGCATGAGACCCATCTGCTTCATGCTAGTGGGTTGTGATCCAGCCTTCTAAATAGAGGTGTGGGAGATGCTGATCATGAAGACTGCTCAGAGACAGTGGTCAATATGCTGTACATTCGTCACCACCCCTGGCAGAGATGGGGACATGTGTCCTCTTCCCTAAAGCCAATTGAAGGAGGGAGCTTCACAGGAACAAGTAGGGAGCTTGCCACGTCTCTTGGAGTTCGGAGCACTCAAGGACTCTGTAAACATGACTGCTGGTGGAAGCTGGCTGAGAAAAAGAGGCGTGAGTTCTCAATGAGAAGTCCACTCCCAGCAGCAGGGCAGGGGGCCTGTCTCCAGACAAGACAAGGGCCCAACAGAAGGTGCCAACTGGGAGCCATCTTAAAAGTTGTCTTGCCCAACAAGGCCACCTGAAGGGGCCATTTGACCCCAAAAGATGAATGGACATTTTATTCATGATCAGCAAAAAGTAAGTCCAGGAAACTTATTTGAAAAGAATGTAATAGAAAATACGAAGCTTATTTCTATTTGCATAATACAGAATTGAACTTGTTTAATTAATAAAACAGCTATATAAAATGCACCTTCAAGTCATCCTCAAATAAAGATACAATAAAAATAAAAACATGGTTTATTATGTAAATCCTCTGGCTTCACCAATATCAATTGTCCCTAAGCAGTTTTGGAGCTTTCACATTAATTGTTTTGTATTAGGAAGATTTGTCTAGTATGACAAGTATGAGGGATAGGTCAGAAGAAAGAGTGAGTTTCTGCCTCTCTCTTGGCCTTCCCCTTCTCTCACCCTAAGATGTTCTTACATAAACCTCTTATAATAGTTCCCTGTCCACTTCCTTGCTGCCCTTATAAAAATTATTCTTTAGTTATCTGTTTTGACTTATCTCCTGAACTAGATCTGCAGTACGGAGAAGTCAGGGATTCATATTCCTATTTGTATTCACAGCACCTAGGACAGCTCCTGGCCCACTGCATATGTTCTAGAAATGCTTGTTACATGGATGAATGAGTCCCAGTTCTGTTGCTAGCTCTGAGAGGGTTGGGGCATTCTTTGATAGCTGACTTTATCTGGGCAGAAATTTTCTCAGTTGTAGAAGTATTGGTTTCAGTTTCTAGGTTTCCTTCAAACTACAAATCTCTGATACAGTTAAGTGTAAGAATAGGAGAATAAAATAACAGAAAGCATCAAAGGCAATGCCAATGGTGGTAAGCTTGAAAGAATATGAGAAAATAGTAGAATCAACAGACAGAACTAATTTCAGTTAGGAGTGATAATTGGGACACATGAGAAGAACTTTTTTGAAACATGTTTATCTGAGATAAAGGAAATATATCCAATTAAAAACCCATCTGTATGTCAAGTTTAAGTTAGAAATTTGGTGGTTATCTTTACACAGTGATAGAAAGTAGCTAATAAAGCTGATTTTGAGGGAATAAAGCAAAGTATTAAAGAAAGAGCTTGAAAGTATACTGAGAGTTGGTGGGTAGAAAATGAAGGCTCCTCCTTAAAAGCAAAAGACAAACAGGGTGGAGAGCGATTCAGAGAAACACTGCCCAATACATAAAAACATAATTCAAGGGATGTTTTGCAGAAAGATTTTGGTACTTACAGTTCACAGTAAGAAACTGAAGTTTAATTGGGATGGATCTACAAACCATCCACCAGCAATAGATTAGCGTGACCTCCTCTGCCACCAGTACTCCACAAATAGCTGCGAACATGTCTTTTTAAAATTTTTACTATAATATGACGCACCCACAAGATGGAAAGTTCCAAACTGAATTGGAAAAGAATAAAATTATGTTTTAACTTTTGTTATTATTGGGACAAAAACATGCCAATTATTTCAGGTAGATTTTGAATGGCTTATTCTCAGGACAGGACAAAAAGTGATAAAGGGGCTAATAAATAAACTATTGTCCACATCCAAAGACACATTCATTCTTCCCCAAATAGCTGTTTGATGTCGTGTTGCCATGTAGATGGAACTAAGTCTGGTATTTTAGAGAAGAACCTAAAACTGTTTTCTTTAGCATATGGATGTGCTGTGAGAGGACCCTGGAATATGAGCTGGAGTTCAGTCAGACGGCATCAACACCAATGAATGAGACTTAGGATTGGCTTCACCAGATAAACTAGCACAGGGGATGAGATGACCACAACATTTTTCAAGGAAAACTCATGTGAGGAAGAAATCTTGTAGAGCAATCTTCAAATGCACTTGTTGGATATTCTAGAATGTAAAATGAAACAGTATTTTTTTTTTATTTTAGACTCAGCTGTTTATTTTAGACTCAGCTGTTTTATTTTAGACTCAGCTGTTGACATTCCTCAAGAGTGATGCCCACCAACTTTACAAGAACCAACAGAAGTACTGATGGGAGAACACACCCCAATATTTCTTTTCCTTATCTGTAGAATGGGACAAAGTATATCCACAGGACCTTCAAGGCAGAGGGAGAAGAAGACGGCCTGTACTATCAAACCTCTTTTGTATGTAGTAGGAACTGTAATATCCAGAAATACATGAACAGTTTGAAAATTGCTCAAAATGCTGGGTGTGCGTGAAAGCAGCGCTGTATCAAAGAAACGATCCAAAGGACACATTTTCAAAAGGAAAAACTGTGAGCAAAGAGCACTATGGCCAAATCAACATGAAAACAGTGGCTGATATAATCACTGCAAAAGGAACAAATGTTAAGCATTCTCCCTTCAGCTCAGTTGGCCTATTATACTTCTGAATACCAAGGTTTACAACGCCTCCCCGTCCCTCCCTCCAATTTCAGAAGTGTCAGACAGGAGACACAGTGCCAGCAAAAAACCTTCCACCGATCTCTTGTTAGCTAACTGCGTGTTTTGTTCGGTGGTTACATGTCTGCGCAGGCCGACATTGTGTCAGTCATAATTACCACCTGTTCACTCGCTCCCTTCAGGCCCCATCACCTCTGCGGCATTCAGCAGCCAGCAGCAGGAAGCAGTGTCGATTGCCCAGGAGCAGCGACTGTCGGGCTCTGGGTTTCAGGGTATAATTGCTGCCTGTGCACAAAAAGCCCTGGCCTCTTCCCTTCTGTCCCCTCCTGAATCGGGAGTGAAAAGACCCAGCTGCACGCTCTAACACTAACTCATATTCTTCAGGCAGAGGCGATCAGAGGCACCTCAAATGTCATTTTCGTGCCATGAATCATATCTGAACTCTCACAAACATGTCATTCTGTGAAAAAAAAAAAGTTCAATTTTTAAAAATGGTACAGACCGTTACTTCTTGCCCCTGCTGTTTAGTGCTCCGTGGCGCACAGTTGGCTTTTGTTTTTAATAGCATCATTCTCTGAAGTTTTCGATTCGAGACATTCATAAAAATGATATTTGAATTACATATTTGCATCTTTCCCCGCACATTCTGATACCATATAAAATAAACAATGGATAACACTAGCTGACTTTAACTGAGCCCACGGTACTTGACAGTTCATTGTTTTAAACACTGTGCTAAGTAACTAATCCAATCTTCGTGACTCCCCTAAGAGGTGGGGACCATTGTTATGCCCTTTTATGGATGTAAATATCAAGGCATAGAATGGTTAAGTTTTACCAATTTTTTCTTAACCGTGCCATTATCTTTTCTTGCCTCCAAAGCTTTGTCTATGCATGCTAGCTAACCCTTTCCTCCCCATCAAGCTATCTGCTGCATTTGCTAAAACTCATCTTAAATATCAGTTGCTGGAGAAAGCTCTTCCTGACCTTGTCCCCAGGCTGAATTAGATACTCTAATGAACTTGGCTCATATCAGTTGGAAAACTCTTATTTATGCTACTGTAATTATCGTTGTTGTGTCTGTTATTTCCTTACAGGCCACGGCTATACGTTTCCACAGTTAGTTCCCCGAGTCAGCTGTTTTCTGATCCCGGGCTGTTTTAACATTTACAGTTGCCCCTTGGTATATGCAAGGGATTGGTTCCAGGACCCTGTCATATACTAAAATTCGCACATAAAGTCCCACAGTTGGCCCTGTGGAACCCATACATACAAAAATCAGTTCTCCATATCGGCGGGTTTCACACCACTCAAATACTCTATTTTCTATCCGCATTTGTTTGAAAAAAATACATATAAGTGGATGCTCAAAGTTTAAGCCCCTGTTTTTCAAGGGTCAACTGTATTTATATAGTTGTAAGCAAGAAAAAGCTGATGAAAACCATAGCATTTCCTTGCCATTGTTTTTTCCCTCAAATTTACCAAAACATTGGGTCTCCAGCTTTCCGTGGTTATCATGAAGCACCAGTCACAAATGTCTACTACTGACATAACATTAGAAGATAAGACTACTTAAATGTTTAAAACTTCAGACTTATGCAAATAAGGGTCTGTAGGTGCAAAGCTGAAATGCTTCCATGTCAGAAGTTCCCAGGATTCAGATTCTTTGCCTTCTAGTAATCTCAGGGAGGCAAGGATGGATTCATACCAGACAGGCCAGCGATTCCCAAAGCTGGCTGATCATGGGAATCACCTGGAGAATTTTGAAAGAAATGCAGATTTCATGGAATCCTACCATCAGGCTATTGGTTCAGAATGTTTGGAATTGAGATCCAGGAATGTGCATTTTTTCAAATTGCCCTGGTTAATTTTAACAATCGGCCAGGCCAGTTTGGGAGCAGTGTTACAGGACTTGAGGTGGCTTAAGTTAGTATGATTTAAGTAATGACTGAAAACATGTAAGGACTGTCTTCTGATGTGTGGATATGGGAACCTCAGGGAGAATAAAAGAAGCAACTTAATGGATGAAAATATCAAGACATAGAATGGCTAAGTCCTCCAGTGTTTCCTTTACTGTGCCGTTATCTTTGCCTGCCTCTAAAGCTTTGCCCATGTGGTGCCCATAATGCCAGTTAGCCTTTTCCTCCCTATCAGGCTAACTCCTGCCTATGCTCAGACCCCATCTCAAATATCAGTTGCTTGAGAAACGGTAGCTTGTTTATGTACATCTGTAGCATGTAGCAAATGAACAAGAAATAGACATTTTTGTCTTTTAGGTCAAGGCTCAATTGGAATAATCTGGAGAAGCTTTTCTACAATGTCTACACTCCAGGGCCCACACCTGCCAATGAAATCTGTACCTTAAACCTGAAGAGGACCAGGTATCAATATTCTTTGAAAAGCAGCCCAGATGATGCAGCTAGGTAGGTGTGGGATTAACAGCACAGCCGGGAAGTTTCAAATTGGAAGCACTTCAGAAACTGTCATATGCGAGAAAGATGGTATCTCATTCAGACCGACCACCATTTCCCAAAGATTTCTCCCAGATCACTACTTCCTCAAGATGCCCAGAGAACATAATTCTGTGACCAAATGCGTATGAGAAATGCTGCCAACTGCTGACTCCTATCTTTGAGACTTATCTACGTAGTGCTTTTAGTGCTTTTTTGTTATGACCTTGGCTCACTGCAGCTTCACCCTCCTGGGCTCAAGCGATCCTTCCACCTCAGCCCTTCAAGTATCTGGGACTACAGACACCTGCCACCATGTCTAGCTAATTTTTGTATTGTTTGTAGAGATGGAGTTTCACCATGTTGCCCAGGCTGGTCCTGGTCTGAAACTCCTGAACTCGAGTGATTCTCCAGCCTCAGCCTCCCAAAGTGCTGAGATGACAGGTGTGAGCCACTGTGTCTGGTCTGTAGTGCATCTTAATGTCTCTGAGAAAACCTGTGACCAAGAAAACTATTACCTCGGCTTAATCCAGTAATTTTCCAGGAAAGCTGCTTTTTTATTTCATAGCACCTAACACCCTGTGGACCTCCAGAAATGGTGATTCACGATGAGGAGGAAGAGTACTGAGCCCTGTCAAGGGCAGCATTGGGTGAGGAGCCTCTCAATTACATGTTAGGAAGTGAAGACACCCAGACCTCGGATTCCAATTTTGATGCTTCAGTTTTAAAATGGTGGGGGGTGAGGGGCTGATGGAGAAGAGTCTTTATGGACACAAATGGACCAGGGTGCTTTGACCTTTTGTTCTGTGGTCTCCTCACTTATTAGGTCACATAACCTTCAGTGGGCTACATAAACCTCTTTTCTCATCTTTAGCAGAACAAAAATCTGTGGTCTGGGCTTAGGGGCCAGTTGGACTGGGCTTTGGTCATTGATTCGCGCTGGTCTTTGAAATGTGAGTGGAAGGGACAGACAGGTGTTGAGTCCAAGCAGAAGCCTTCGATGTTCTTGTGTGGCTTGGCTCTGCCTCTGTGCTTCTCCCTCCTCCTTGAGAACAATATGCCCCACATGGGAGCTGCTCCTTTAGCCAGGCCTCCAGGACCAGAGGACAAATGGGGCTGAGCACAACCAAGCCCAGCTGAGCCAGGTCAGGGTTCAATGTAGCCTGAACATGAAATAAATGTTTATAATTTTAAACCAGGAAAATTTTGGTATAGTTTATTATAACAAACTGCAATCTATAAACCTGATTTGGGTCTGATTTAAAGAAACCAAACAACCTCTAAAAATTAGGAGGTAAACAGGAAAACTTGTACACTGACGTTAAGAAATTGATGTCATTTTTTTTTACAAGATGTTATAGGACTGTTTCACTTGTGTTTAGGTAAAGAATCCTTATCTTCAGTGATCCACGCTGAAATACTTATGCATGAAACGGTATAATGGAAGGACAGGAAAGTGGGCAGAGTCATAAATGAAGTAAGAATGTCCAGGTGTTGATAATTATTGAAGCTGGGTAACGGATAATTGGGGGTTTACCATATTATTCAACTTTTGTTTATGTTCAAAATTTTCTCTGATTAAAAAGCTAGAAAATCAACATTCACACAAACTCTTCTCCATAGGTTGAAAATAGGTGGAGTATCTTGTTAGGATTATTATAATCTTTTAATTTTATAGCACTGCCAATGAGCCATCCCTGCCATAAAAGAGTCAGCCAGAGATAACTGGTGACTTCCACCACGTAATTATTATCACCGTTTATTTCAGTGGAAACTGCTGCCTGTTTGGATTTGGAGAACACTAAGAAAGAGAAATGAAGATCTGGAGAATTCAAAGGATAATTATCCCTTTTGAATATTGACACACTTACATGTTTTTCCAGACGTAGATTTTGTGTAGGCGAAAGCTATTTGATTATAAAAGATCCGGTTTCTTCAAATTTTTACAGGTAAAAACTTCATTAATTAACATCAAGGAAAATGGAGCATCTGCTACTTTTTTGTCAACAGATTTTAATAATATTGAGCACTGCTAATTGGATAGAACTGAAATATAGCTCTTTGTATGTTAAATTAAGATGATTTCTTCTGCTATTTTTCCCCTAAATTTTATTTAAACTATGGCAACTCTTCAGAGTTTTCTTCTACCATTTAAGTTAAAGTGATTCTGAATGACTAAAGGGGGTCCTGTGGAGCTCCAACGGTTATTCCACCTCAGCCCTGGAAAGATGGTACATCATTCAGACCAACTATCACCTAAAGGGTGTCCTTTAGTGATTCAGGTAAAGGGGATCCATGTTCAAAAATGCTGTCATCATTGCCATTGTGATAGTTACTGTGACCTGGAAGGGAAAGAAAGGCAATCAGACCTGCTAACATTTTGGCTCAAGGATTTTCTTGAATGCTTCTGAAGTCGGGCTATGAAACAGGGACATTTAACAGGCTTGAGGAGAAACTCCAAATACAATGCTCATTAAAGACCAAATGAAATATTTGCTGAAATGGAAGTGATAGGAATGGCAGACAGTGGATTCTTTTGCTTCTCTTTAAACACTGACCATTCTTCCCAGCAGATGGTGGATTAACCATGGAGAACTGGAGGCAAACTTTGGGCCCAACTTAACCTCAGCTCTGATTAATCTACTGAAATCAGAGGCACCGTTAAACTAATCAGAATGTATTTTGATGTATAAGGGGAAGAAGAGTGGTGCAATGGGAAGAAAGATGAAAATGGAGTCAAGTAGCTTGGGGGGCAAATTGGACTTCACTATTTTTTTGTTGTGTGGTTTTGAATAAATGACTCAAGAAGAACCAGCTCAGCAGAAGCTGAGCATCAACTTCTCTGTGTAATGATGAAAAGACTTATCATGTAGGATTGTAGTGAGGGAAAATTTTATAAGTTTTCAAGTTGTCTTCCTCCTCTGCCTTCTTGTGATATCAAAGAAAGGCTTCCAGACATTCTTGGTTTTCAAACACTGGCATTCCCACTAAATCCCCTTGGGTGCTCTTGGTGCCAGTCCTGGGTAGTGACAGGAGTCCACATTATATGTGAGGTCAGTCCAGGCTTCTGCAGAAGAGCTTCCTATCAGTGGAAAATTCATTTCTGAGAAATTGCAGCCAAGAACATTACTAAGCCTTAAGCAAGTTCTTAAAATCCTCAGTCTAAGTGACTTAATTTTCCTGCAATTCACTCACAGGTAATTGACTAGACAAGGAAGCATCATCCCAATACAACACAACAGCTCTGATGTCCTGCCACCTCATATGGGGCGAGTTTTCCCAAGAAAATATGACCTAAGGTCATGATGCACAGTTATGCAAGTTGTGCACTGCACAACTCCAGAAGGTGCAGTCAATGGGAATGGTACCTCTAGGTGTCAGCACTGCGCAGTCAGCTTGATTGTATTCTGTGGCTCTGAATTTGCAGTCTTTCTTGGGACAGAGAGTTCCCAGTGCCTTTTCAAGCAGCTAAGGCTTCCCAATGCTGTATCTCTCAAGAGGCTCCCCTCCAGCATACGCATCCTGGGGTGTTCTGTCCACCATCTTTGACATGTGCTGCCTTAGCCACAGAAAGGCCACAGTAACTAAAACCTGAGCCTCCTTCCTCCCATAGAAGCCAATGCTTCCTTTTACCTGGTGGTTGGCAGAGTCCCCCTGGGAGTCCCAGCAAGAGAGACGTCTTGAATGGCACAGCCTAGCACGCAGACTCGAAGCTGTTGTCTGTCCTGCACATCCTGCCTTCTGATCTTGATAACTGGGGTCCTCAGCTCTGCACCACTGGCTCTGTCACTCAGGGGTCCACTGCTCAAGCCCACGTGCACATCCCAAGACCCCAAACCTCTCTTCCCTGAAGCTGGTAGAATATCACACACTCGCCAACCTCGGTCACAAGATTCTTCCTTTTTCCTTAAGGATTTCCTCCCAAATCTCCCAAAACATTTAATGTCTTGTTCACAGGGACTCTAAAGTTTTCTTGATTTTTTTTCCCTTAAAGATGAAAGGTTTTGGGTTACATGTGTTCCATAAAGTCTAAAGAATCTTCCCAATTCTTTTCCTTAAAAGGCAGTCACAAGCGCACATACAAACACACTTTCGCTCTACCCTTCATAGCCTCTAGGCTACAAAATTATATATCTATAAAATACTGTTTTTGCTTTTGTTTGTTTAGTTTTACTTGGATTTGCCTCTTTATTTTAAGAGATGTGGAAAATAGCACAATATTAGAATTCTGGTATAAATCATATACACCTTTATGCAAGATTTTAAGACAATTGTCAATACTTTTGGAGCTTCTATTTGGTGTGAGATGCTTGTGGAGATGCAAGCATGTTTAAATTAAAGTCCCTGATCTTAATGAGATTAGCTTCTTTAGTATTAAGTATAATCTATGGAAATTTTCACCTTTTTACTTCTTCAATACAAAGGTGACTTCCAGAATTTTCTAGGGCTTCAGAATTTGGGGTCTGATGGAAAAAGAGAAGGATGATGCTAAGGTTGAAGCAAGGGTGAAAGCAAGAATAAGCAAGGCAAAGAAATGATCATTTCGTAGTACTTCACAGCTAGTAAAACACTTTTTAAATCGATTTCCTCTTTGACCCCACAATAATGTACCTCCCCTCTCTTTCACCCGTTTGTTGGGTGCCTACTGCATGCCAGAACCTGGGGTACCCATGAATAGAACAGTTCCAACTCAGGATTCAAGCAGTCAGGTGGAAGAGACAAGAAAAGTAAACAATTCTAGTAATGTGTGATACATTACATGTTAGAGGTTAAAAACCAGGTCTTTAGAAAAAGTTGGTCTGGCCCAATTCATCCTCAGCTCTGCTTAATGAATGGAAATCAGAGGCACTGTTAAACCAATCAGAATCGAGTTTACTGTATAAAAGAAGCAGGACAGCACAATGGAAGGAGCGAGGAAATTGGAATCAGGTAGCTTGAGGTTCAAATCTGAGTTTCACCACTTACTGTGTGGCTTTGGGCAAATTACTTTGGAGTAGGAGTGGGCAAGGTCAAAGAGCTGGCTTAGGGCACACATCTGGAAATATGTGATGGAAGGTGAATCTTGAAGAGTGAGTAGCAGCTGGTCAGCAAAGCAAATGGGTGGAAAGCCATGCCGGACACTCACTGCTCGAAGGCACAGAGGCAGGAAGGTGGGTTGGTCAGGGGGCTGCTGAGCAGAGAGCTTGGGCTTGTGGAGCTGGGCAGACACTAACAATGACAGAGGAACCCATAAACCACACTCAGCAATCTGGACAGGCCATTCAGGATCTCGGCAGGCATGGTACATCACCTTTACATTGGCCCAATGAATGAGAATGAATTAGGGTTGCAATGGAGGCAAAGGACCTATTGTGAGGCTAAAGAAGCTGCTGTGGCAAGAAATGATCAGAAGCTGAACTGCTTTGGGCACTGGCAATGAGTATGGAAAGGAGGGGGTTGAATGTCACAGCCAGCAGCTAATGTGGGGCACACCAGCATGGGCAGGTGTTTTACACATGTATCTTATTTCATCCTCAAAGTTGAACAGATACAAAGAGAGACAGGTACACAGCAAAGTTGGGCAACATAATGCTTTGTGTGAATTAGAAGAGGGTCTCCTAAGGGTGAGCACATGGTCTGAGAGAAGATTACATCTTAATGGGTAAAACTCCACTGCTTCCAATGGGCAGCCATGCCAGGTCACAAGGCTCAACAAGCAGAGGATATTGTCTCCCCTTTCACCTTTAGCTGAGTGCCTCTGTGTGATGCCAAATGTATCAGTCCGTTTTCACACTCCTGTAAAGAAATACTGGAAACTGGGTAATTTATAAAGAAAAGATGTTTAATTGACTCACAGTTCTGCATTGCTGGAGCCTCAGGAAATTTACAATCGTGGCAGAAGGCAAAGGGGAAGCAGGTACCTCTTCACAGGGTGGCAGGAGAGAAAAGGGGAAAAGCCCAGGGGCAAGCTGCCATTTATAAAACCATCCGATCTCGTGAGAACTCCTTCACTATCACAAGAATAGCATGGGGGAAACTGCCCTTATGATCTAATCACCTCCCACGAGGTCTCTCCCTGAACACCTGGAGATTACAATTCCAGATAAGATTTGGATGGGGACACAAAGCCTAACCATATCACCGAATTATACTTTGTGTGTGACAACCTGCCAGATGAAGACCTCAAGACCCAGAAGTGTTCATGGATTAGTGTGTCTCAGTCCATGGCTAGTGAGAGAAAAGCTAGCATTTACATCTTGGTTGTTGTCTACCTCCAAAGCCTATGTTTGTAATGAGTGTAGTTGACATCATTATACTGAATTTTACAGATAAGGAAACTGAAGCTCCAAGGGTTTAACACAATTTTCCCATCACTGGAAATAAAGAGTGGTGGAAAGGAAAATGAAACTCCAAATGTCTGTCTCTAAATCTCACTCACTTTACTAAAATCAAATTAACCTTAGTAATTTTAAGTGGCAAAAACTATGACAGAATCCAAGAAACTGTGGGCTAGTAATTCCAGGGTTGAATGTGGATGAATTGCTTTAAAATTATGAACTGTATGTCTCAGAATATGACTTTGAAGCAATTAAATTGTCATGACACTTCTTGTGGTCATATTTTGAATGCTGAAAAAAATGCCTAGCTTGCAGATTTGGTGTTTCTTTCCCCTTAGCGTAACTGAGTAGCATTACCTATAAAACAGAGGGCAATTTTACATTATTACAAGTGTTATGCTAAAATACACTTGGGTGCAATAAATACAGTAATATTGGTGAAAATGACCCCTATTTTATGGAGATCTCCAATTGCCTGTGTTCCATAATTGTTTATTCAGTGCATCTGAATAAACAGTTATGAGACACAGACAATTTCAAGAAGCACTTGTGCTGCTTTAAGGTGTGTTGACAACTAAATATCCTGAACTCATGTGTCATCGGAGCCCCAGAATATGCATAATAATGTGTATAATTCTAAAATCTAAAAACTCGTACATTCTTTCCAGATAATAATTGATAATTCATTTTTTTTCCCACAGCCTCTCTGAGACAAACAATTCTCTCATATCCACTTTGCGATGAAACTGAGATTTGGAAAATTTGTCATTCACATATTGCTGTGATGATGGTGATGGGGCAACATGAAGAATACTTCTAGTGTGGTCTTTTGTAGATAAAAGAAATATGTACATATAGTTCTCTCTGTTACTTACCAGGAACTGGTGCAATAGGATTATGATGGTTCTGTCTTTACAGATGAGAAAATAGATGCTTCACCCATTCATTCGTCCATTCACTAAATGCATAGTGAGACCTTATTACTGCAAGGGACTGTCCAAATTGCTGAGAATACTGCTGCTGACAAAAGGGGAAAAAATGCCCGCCCTTGGGGAGATTCTGTGTTGGTTACTGGGTGTATTAGTCTTCTCAGGCTGCCATAACAAGGTACCACAGACTGGGTGGCTTCCACAACAGAAATTGATTTTTTCTTCGTTCTGGGGGCTGGAAGTCCAAGATCAAGGTGGTTTCTCCCAAGACACAGGGTTGATTCCTCCTGAGACCTCTCTCCTTGATATGAAAGTGGCTGCCTTCTCGTGTCCTCATATGGCTTTTCTTCTCTGTGCATGTCCCTTGCATCTCTTTATGTGTCTAAATATTCTTTTCTTATAAGGACATCAGTCAGAATAGATTAGGGCCCACCTTAAGGGACTCATTTTAACTTAATCACCACTTTAAGGGCCCTATCTCCAAATAAAATCACAGTCTGAGTAATTGGAGTTTAGGGGCTCAATGTATAGATTTTGGGGACATGGTTCAGCCCATAACACCTGTCTAAAGTTACACAGATGGTAGGTAGTCAGGTCGGGACTGACTGCTGCTTTTCTGACATATTCTCCAAACCTGGACCGTGTCTCCTGCCTCTTGTCTACCAGGTTAAGACCAGAAGCAGTCTGTTTCATAAAACTCCAGACTTATTTGGGAAGCAAGGGGCCTGTGTGCACACATGTGTGTTTGTGTATTGTTATGACTAAACTACTTAGGCAAAGGATAAGTTTGTACTTCCGGGACTTGGATAACAGTTCACGTTAATTGATCTCTCAAAGCTGTACTCCTGGAACTTTCCAATTCATTGCTCAGGCCTCACCAATTATTCCTTCCCCTTCAGCTGTCAGCTTTCCAACATTTTGGCTTTTTCTACGTCTTTTTCCATGACTTCAAAATTCATGCCATTTAAAAGTAGTAGCTTCAACTATTCTTTAAACGAGAGCTTCTTTCTCTTCGACTTCAGGACTTTTTGCTTTGATAACTTCAAATGTCTCCCCTTCTACACCAAGCATTTAATGCTCACCAGTGGTTTTAGCTTTTCAAACACATGAATAATAATGTATTTTGGGTTTATCTTTTCTTTTATCAGCTTTAACGGTGCATTTCTTCCTGCTATCCTGGCATAAACAAGGCTATTAACTGAGTAATTTTTTTAATGTCATAAGAAGTCCTATTGCTTTTTAAAAACACTTCTAAACACAGGCAGATCTGTACAACTGAAATTTTCATTCTGTGCTCTCAGTATACTGACTGTGAAATAAATAAAAGACAGCTTTTGCGTTTGGTAACCTTGAAGTCCTCAGGGTACTTTTACCTCCAAGGCTGGATAAGTGAGTGTTTTCAAGTGGCTTAAGAAGACAAGGAGAGGGAGACGGTGTATAGAGAGTGAGCCTGGCTTCTACATGAAATAAGAACAGGACTTGAGATATTCAAAACGCAAATTAAGAGAAGGAAGCAAAAGTGAGGAGAGAAAGAAAAAAACAGAGAGAAATGACTTTATAATTTAAAATGTACTTAGTATAGGATTTCAGTATTGTAATATGAGCAGAGCCTCTATATTTTCTAATATATTCAGTGGCTACATGGTACTTTTCTTCTGGAAGGAGTGCAGATGACTTAGCTTGTGTCCTTTTCTTTGCCACCTCTGCATGCCATGTAGCCAGCCATCTCCGCATGCCATGTAGCCAGCCATCTCCAGGGCAGGGTAGACTAGAACCACTTTTTTTTTTTTTTTTTTGGAGGCAGAGTCTCACTCTGTTGCCCAGGCTGGGGTGCAGTGACACGATCTCAGCTCACTGCAGCCTCCGCCTCCTGGGTTCAAGCAATTATCCTGCCTCAGCCTCCCGAGTAGCTGGGATCATAGGTGCATGCCACCACGCCCGGCTAACTTTTGTATTTTTAGTAGAAATGGGGTTTCACCATGTTGGCCAGGCTGGTTTTGAACTCCTGACCTCAGGTGATCCACTTTCCTCGGCCTCCCAAAGTGCTGGGATTACAGGTGTGAGCCACGGCACCCAGCCTTAGACCACTATTTAATAGAAAATAACTGGACACCTTCTTCAATGATGAACAGAAAGAAAGACGCTTGGGATCTAATTGAAGAGTATAGGCAGCCATTCTGGCAAGTGAGTTCTAAATTTGCTGTAATAACAACAATTTTAAAAAGTCCTTGGTTCTGTTTTAATAGAAATGAAAATAGTATCCAGAGCATCCAGGGCTATATTTCTTCTATAAATATGTACTTTCTTCATAGACCTAGTCATTTTGAGGCTTGCAGTTTTTCAGGGCAAATAATTCTGTGCTGATCTATTTTTCATAGGATAAAAAAGTTCATGTTAGATACATACAGTGACCTTTAGCTGTCTAAATATTAAGCAGACACCAGAGTAACTTCCTGAATCAAATAAGACTGGAGTTTTATGAGAAAAGCAGGGGTCAGGTTTTTCTATTAAAGTCCAGATAGTTAGTAAATATTTTAGATTCTGTGGGTCGTGTGGTCTCTGTCTTTTCTCATCTCTGCAGTCATAGCACAAAAGTAGCCTCAGACAGCATGGACAGTTGACCCTCAAGCAACATGGAGCTAGAGGCACTGAACCCCCATGCAGTTGGAAATCCACATATAACTTTTGACTCCCCCAGAACTTAACTACCAATAGCCTACTGTTGACTGGGATCCTTGTTGATAACATGAAGTCAATACATATATATTTTATATGTTGTAGGTATTATATAGTATATTTTTACAATAAGGTACATAGAGAAAAGAGAATATTATTAAGAAAAATCATAAGGAAGTGAAAATATATTTACTATTCATTAAGTGGAAGTGGATTATTCTAAAGGTCTTCATCCTCGTCGTCTTCACATTGAATAGGCCGAGGAGGAGGAGGAAGAGGTGGGATTGGTCTGCTCTCTCAGGAATGGGGGAGCTGGAAGAAAACTCATGTATAAGTGAATCCAGGCAGTTCAAACCCGTGTTGATCATGGGTCAACGGTAAATGAATGGGCGAGGCTTTGTTCCAATACAACCAACATTTATGAACCCTGAAATTTGAAGGGCACATAATTTTCATGGGTCACAAAATATTATTCTTCTTTTGACTTTTTTCCAATCATTTTAAAAAACGTAAAAAATAGTCCTGACTTGTGGGCTGCATAAAAACAGGCTGTACACTTCTATTTGTTGACCTCTGAGATGAAAACTTGTGTGTCATTAGTAGTTAAATTATGCTACTGAGGGATATATGCCACAGGATTAATTTGAATTGGGGAAATAAGGCAGTGATTTTTGCCTGAATATTAATATCACTGAAATATCTAGATAATTAAGTTGATGTATTAATAGGACTTAGATTTTCTGCCACATGTAGCCAAAATCTACAGAACTGCCTGATTTTCTTCTAATTCTATTTACTGTGTGTCATAGGGACATAATTTATTTTTTAAAATATTTTTTACCATATTCCTCTCCCTATCCCTTCCTCCCACTGAAGGAGAATCTTTTCTAGCCTGGCTCCTGGATATTGTCCGATGATGAATTAGAAGAAAGATAAGGCCCTAGAAGCCCAGAGAGTGGAGGGAGGACAAAGCCAGAGAAGATAAGCTGATCTACTTATAAAGATTTCGGGATATGAGAAACCGGGAAAATCATTATACCTGGGACTGTGGAGTCAGTTTGGGGTTTTAAGCTGGGAGAAGCTACGCAGAAGAGAAGTAGGGGAAGGAGGAAGGGAATTTGAGGAGTGTTGTTGTGTATTATTAAATAGCTCTTTTTTGATGTTCTTCTAGAAACATAAGTGAAGATTAGCGCTCCCTGTGAAAGTTTACTTTTTGGTGGCCGGGCTGTGGGTCTGTGTTACGATTCCATACAGATGCCAGGCCACTTGAAGCTGCAGGTTTATCATACAGCTGTCTAAAATATCATAAAAAGAATAACATCACATGCACAAAGCAACATATTTTATTTGTATTTACTCTTTTCTAGATTACTTGGAATTACTAACTAGTTCATGAACTTTGACAAAGAGCACACAACAAACACTGGAGCTAGAGTTGCCAAAAAAAGGTTAATTGGCATTTTAGCTTTGGGCTTTGGTGGTAAGTATTGTTCAGTTTTCCTGAGAAGAAGGTTTGAGCAGTTGTTCTGGTCCACAGGCACAATGGTTCAGCAATTTTAGTTGGATTTCTCATCTGAGTAATCTGTTATCTGGTAGACCTAAGAAAAGCATTAAGAAAATAATTATTTTTAAAAGGCAAGTGTCATTTTATAAGTTAAGAGGTATCATTTATGTGTACAGACTCAGAAGAATTATAACACGTGATTCTTATTCACTGAAGTCTTATTGTCTACTTAGTTCATATATCTAAGAAAAGAAAGAAAAGACAGAAAAGAATGAGGGCAATATAGCATCCTATGTCACAAAGATAAATATCTGGAGATATATAAGATATGGTAAATTCTTTCAAACAGCTATCAAAACTTCCATTAGAAATTTTATTTGAAATGTAGATAAACAATAAAAATCTGTGGAATGAATGGATAAATGCTAAAGCCCCTCTTTACTTTATGTTCGGTCTGAAGCTAGGGGTAGGATTCACCCAGAAAATACAGTTGCTCTTGCAAAGAGATTTGGTTTCTTCCTTACAGGTTTCCTGACTGACTGACACCTTCCACATGCTTGTGAACTATGACTTGATCACAGCACAGAAATAACTCTTCCAATGCAATTAAATTTTAAAATAATTTAATAACTCAAGGACGACATCTAAAGAAATGAAATTGATTTGCTTAGTTCTTCTAAACCTCAGGCAGCAATTGAATTATCACCAAGTTCCTTACCAATAAGAACAAAGAATGGCTTTGAATTGTCAAGCATTTTGCAGATACATGAAACCTTGCTCCCCAAAGCTCTATTCATTGCTTACCATGTTGGGATGGAGGAAGATTTTATTGAGCTTGCCTATGATCACAATGGTACACAATGCTTGCTGAGCCCACTCCAAATCCTGAGTGGTATCATTGTAGGTACAGCTGCCTGTAATAGTAGAGCTAAGTTTATGAATAACTCAGGTAAATAGCACCAGGCAGTACCATGTATTATTATTTACTGTTTGAGTATGCTGAGGTCTCAATTACTATATAAATCATGTGAAACAAATTAATCTTGTGCTCATCTGGGGAAAGTCTCATGTACACTATGGGAGGCTAGAAATGTGCTGAATGAATCATTTATATTCTGTTTACATTTTATTCTTTTTTTAAATAAAACTTTTAGGTTCAGGAATACATATGCGGGTTAGTTATATAAGTAAATTCGTGTCATGGGGGTTTGTTGTACAGGTTATTTCATGACCCAGATACTAAGCCTACTACCCAATAGTATTTTTTCTGATCCTCTCCCTCCTTTCACCCTCTACCCTTAGGTAGGCCCCAATGTCTATTGTTCACTTCTTTGTGTCCATGAGTTACCATCATTAGGCTCCCACTGATAAGTGAGAACATATAGTATTTTGTTTTCTGTTCCTGTGTCAGTTTGCTAAGGATAATGGCCTCCAGCTCCATCCATGTTCCTGCAAAAGACATGATCTCATTCTTTTTAATGGCTGCACAGTATTCCATGGTGTATATGTACTGCATTTTCTTTATCCAGTGATATGGTTTGGCTCTGTGCCGCCACCCAAATCTCATCTTCTAGCTCCCATAATTCCCATGTGTTGTGGGAGGGACCCAGTGGCAGATGATTGAATTATGGGGGTGGGTCTTTCTCATGCTGTTCTTGTGATAGTGAATGGGTCTCAGGAGATCTGATGGTTTTAAAAAATGGGAGTTGGCTGGCACAGTGGCTCAGGCCTGTAATCCCGGCACATTGGGAGGCCGAGGCAGGCGGATCATGAGGTCAGGAGTTTGAGACCAGCCTGACCAAGATGGTGAAACGCCATCCCTACTACAAATAAAAAAAAATTAGCTGGGTGTGGTAGTGCACGCCTGTAATCCCAGCTACTCAGGAGGCTGAGGCAGGAGAATCACTAGAACCTGGAAGGCAGAGGTTGCAGTGGGCCGAGATCGTGCCACGACACTCCAACCTGGGCGACAGAGCGAGATTCTGTTTCTCCCCACGCCCTAAAAAAAAAAAAAAAAAGAAAAGGGAGTTGCCTTGTGCAAGATCTCTTTTTGCCTGCTGCCATCCACGTAAGATGTGACTTGCCTTCTGCCATGTCTGTGAGGCCTCCCCCAGCCATGTGGAACTGTAAGTCCAATAAACCTCTTTTTTTTTTTTTTTTTTTTTAAATTGTCTAGTTTTGGGTATGTCTTTACCAGCAATGTGAAAACAAACTAATACATTCAGTCTACTATTGATGGTCATTTAGGTTGATCCCATGTCTTTCTTATTGTGAGGAGTGCTGCAACAAACATATGTGTGCACGTGTCTTTACAGTAGAATGATTTATATTCCTTTGGGTATATACCCAATAATGGGATTGCTGGGTCAAATTGTAGTTCTGTTTTCAGCTTTTTGAGGAATTGCCACACTGCTTTCCACAGTAGTTGAACCAATTGACATTCCCACGAACAGTACATATGCATTTCCATTTCTGTGCAACCTCCTCAGCATCTGTTATTTTTTGACTTTTTAATAATTGCCATCTTGACAATTATTACACAATGAGATACCATCACAATGAGATGGTATCTTATTGTGGTTTTGTTTTGCATTTCTCAAACGATCGGTAATGTTGAGCTTTTTTTCATATGCTTGTTGGCAACATGTATGTTTTCATTTAAAAATTGTCTGTTCATGTCCTTTGCCCACATTTTTTTTTTAAAGTTTGAGTTCTGGGGTACATGTGCAGGATGTGCAGATTTGTTACACAGGTAAACGTGTCACGGTGGTTTGCTGCACCTCTCAACCCATCACCTAGGTATTAAGCCCAGTATGCATTAGCTATTTTTCCTAATGCTCTTCCTCCCCCAATCCCCTCGCTTGACAGGCCCCCAGTGTGTGTTGTTCCTCGCCCTGTGTTAGTGTGTTCTCATCATTCAGTTTCCACTTATAAGTGAGAACATGTGGTGTTTGGTTTTGTGTTCCTGTGTTAGTTTGCTGAGGATAATGGCTTCCAGCTCTGTCCATGTCCCTGCAAATGACATGATCTTCTTCCTTTTAATGGCTGCACAGTATTTCACAGTGTATATGTACCATGTTTTCTTTATGCAGTCTATCATTGATGGGCATTTGGGTTGATTCCATGTCTTTGCTATTGTGAATAGTGCTGCAATGAACATATGCATGCACGTATCTTTGTAATAGAATAATTTATATTCCTTTGGGTATATACCCAGTAAAGGGATTGCTGGGGCAAATTGTATTTCTAGTTGTAGATCTCTGAGGAATCACCACACCAACTTCCATAATGGTTGAACTAATTTACATTCCCACCAATAGTGTAAAAGTGATCCTATTTCTCTGCAACCTTGCCAATATCTGTTGTTTTGTGACTTTTTAATAATCACCATTCAAGTGGTATGAAATAGTATCTCATTGTGGTTTTGGTTTGCATTTCTCTAATGATCAGTGATGTTTTAATGGGGTTGTTTGTTTTTTTCTGATAAATTTGTTTAAGTTCCTTATAGATGACGGATATTAGACCTTTGTCAAATTCATTGTTTCCCAAACTTTCTCCCATTCTGTAGGTTGTCTATTTGCTCTGTTGATAGTTTATTTTGCTATGTAGAGGCTCTTTAGTTTAATTAGATCCCATCTGTCAATTTTTGCTTTTGTTGCAATTGCTTTTGGCGTCTTTGTCATTAAATCTTTGCCCGTTCTCATGTCCATTATCATATTGCCTAGGTTGTCTTCCAGGATTTCTATAGTATTGGTTTTACATTCAAGTCTTTAATCCATCATGAGTTGATTTTTGTATATGGTGTGAGGAAGGGGTCTAGTTTCAATCTTCTGCATATGGCTAGCCAGTTATCTCAGCATCATTTACTAAATAGCAAGTCCTTTACCCATTGCTTGTTTTTGTCAACTTTATCAAAGATCAGATGGTTGTAGGTGTGTGACCTTATTTCTGAGCTGTCAACTCTTTTCCATTGGTTTAAGTGTCTGTTTTTGTACCAGTACCATGCTGTTCTGGTTACTGTGTCCCTGTAGTACAATTTGAAGTCGGGTAATGTGATACCACCTGCTTTGTTCTTTTTGCTTAGGAATGCCTTGGTTATTGGGGCTTTTTTTGTTTTTTTGGTTCCATATAAATTTTAAAATAGTTTTTTCTAGTTCTTTCAAGAATGACATTGGTAATTTGATGGGATTAGCATTGAACCTATAAATTGCTTAGGACAGTATGGCCAGTTTAACGATACTGATTCTTCTAATCCATGAGCATGAGCATGGAATGGTTTTCCATTTGTTTGTGTCGTCTCTAATTTCTTTGGGCAGTGTTTTGTAATCCTCATTGTAGAGATCTTTCACTTCTCTGGTTAGCTGTAGTCACAGGTATTTTATTCTTTTTGTGGCAAATGTAAATGGGATTACATTCCTGATTTGGCTCTTGGCTTGGCTGTTGTTGGTGTATATGAATGTTAGTAATTTTTGTACATTGATTTTGTATCCTGAAACTTTGCTGAAGTTGCTTATCAGCTCAAGGAGTTTTTGGGCAAAGACCACAGTGTTTTCTACATATAGAGTCATGCTGTTGCAAAAAAGGATATTTGGACTTCCTCTCTTCTTACTTGGATGCCCTTTATGTCTTTCTCTTGCCAAACTGCTCTCGGTGGTAAGAGAGGGCATCCTTGTGTTGTACCAGTTTTGAAGGGGAATGCTTCCAGCTTTTCCCCATTCAGTATGCTATTGACTGTGTTTGTCATAGATGGCTCTTATTTTGAGGTATGTTCTTTTATCATGTCTCTGCATCTATTGAGATGACCCTGTGGTTTTTGTTTTTAGTTCTGTTTATGTGATGAATCATGTTTATTGATTTGCATATGTTGAAGCAGTCTTGCTGAAGCAGTCTTGCATCCCACCAGTAAAGCCTATTTGATTGTGCTGGATTAGCTTTTCGATGTGCTGCTGGATTCTGTTTGCTAATATTTTGTTGAAGGCTTTTGCATCAGTGTTCATCAAGAATATTTGCCTGAAGTTTTCTCTTTTTTGTTGTGTCTCTGCCAGGTTTCAGTGTCAGAATGATGCTGGCCTCATAGAATGAGTTTGGGAGGAGTCCCTCCTCCTCAATATTTTGGAATAGTTTCAGTATAAATGGTACCAACTCTTCTTTGTACATCTGGTAAAATTTAGCTGTGAATCCATCTAGTTCTGGGTGCTTTTTTTTTTCATTGACAGGCTATTTATTACTGATTCAATTTCAGAGCTCATTATTGGTCTGTTCAGGGATTCAATTTCTTCCTGGTTCAGTCTTGAGGATATGTTCAGGAATTTATTCATTTCTTCTAGATTTTTAAGCTTGTGTGCATTGATATGTTTATAGTATTCTCTGATGTTTATTTGTATTTCTGTGGGGTCAGTGGTAATATTCCCTTTGTCATTTCTAATTGTGTTTATTTGGATCCTCTCTCTTTTCTTCTTTATTAGTCTAGCTAATAAGATAGCTAGCAGTCTATCTTATTATCTTTTTTTTTTTTTTTTTCAAAAAACCAGTTCCTGGATTTATTGATCTTTTGAATGTTTTTTTTGGTCTCAACCTCCTTCAGTTCATGTATGATGTTTGCTATTTCTTGCTTTCAGTTAGCTTTGGGTTGATTTGGTTGATTTCCTCTTGGTTTGGATTGATTTGATTGATTTCCTCTTGCTTCTCTAGTTCTTTTAGTTGTAATGTTAGATTGTTAGTGTGACATCTTTCTAACTTTTTGATGTTGGCATTTAGTACTATAAATTTTCCTTGTAACACTCCTTAGCTATGTCTCAGAGATTCTGGTATGACGTATCTTTGTTCTCATTAGTTTCAAAGAACTTCTTGATCTCTGTCTTAATTTCATTATTAACCATCATTCAAGAGCATCATTCAGGAGCAGGTTGTTTAATTTCCATGTCGTTGTATGGTTTTGAGTGATTTTTTAATCGTGATTTCCTATTTTATTGCACTGTGGTCTGAGAGTGTGGTTGGTATGATTTTGGTTCTTTTACATTTGCTTAGGATTATTTTATATTCAATTGTGTGGTCAATTTTAGAGTATGTGCCATGTGGTGATGAGAAGAATGCATATTCTGTTGTTTTGGGGTGGGGAGATCTGTAGATGTCTATCAGGTTCGTTTGGTCCAGTGTTGAGTTCAGGTCCTAAATATCTTAGTTAATTTTCTGCCTTGATGATCTATCTAATACTTTCAGTGGAGTGTTGAGGTCCCCCACTATTATTGTGTGGGAGTCTAAGTTTCTTTGAAGCTCTGTAAGAACTTGCTTTATGAATCTGGGTGCTCCTGTATTTGGTGCATGAACATTTAGGATGGTTTGGCATTCTTGTTGAATTGAACCCTTTACTATTATGTAATGCCCTTCTTTGTCTTTTTTGATCTTTGTTGGTTTAAAGTCTGTTTCATCTGATACTAGCATTGCACCCCCTGCTTTTTCCTATTTTCCATTTCCTTGGTTTACTTTTCTCCATCCCTTTATGTTGAGCCTATGAGTGTCATTGCATGTCAGATGGGGTCTCTTGAACACAGCATACCATAGGGTCTTTCTTCTTTATCCAGCTTGCCACTCTGTGCCTTTTAATTGGAGGTATTTAGCCTGTTTACAGTCAAAGTTAGTATTGACATGTGTGAATTTGATCCTGTGATTGTGTTGTTAGCTGGTTCTTATGCAGGCTTATTTATGTGATTACTTTATAGTATCACTAGTCTGTGTACTTAAGTGTTTTTGTTAGTGGCTGGTAATGGTCTTTCATTTTTGTATTTAGTGCTTCTTTCAGGAGCTCTTGTAAGGTAGGTCTGGTGGTAATGAATTCCCTCAGCATTTTTAGTATAAAAAGGATATTATTTCTCCTTTGCTTATGAAGCTTAGTTTGGCTGGATATGAAATTTTTGGTTGAAATTTCTTTCCTTTAAGAATGTTTAATATAGGCCCCAATCTCTTCTGGTTTGTAAGGTTTCTACTGAAAGATCCAGTTAGTCTGATGGGCTTGCCTTTGTAGGTGACCTGTCCTTTCTCTCTAGCTGCCTTTAACATTTTTATTTCACTTCAGTCTTGGAGTATTTGATAATTATGTGTCTTGGTGATGATCTTCTTGTGAATTATTTTGCAGGGATTCTCTGCATTTCCTGAATTTGAATGTTGGTAAATTTCAAGTACATAGCATATCTTGACATTTTTATTCTCATATGTCTGAGGATATTCCCTACCTGTGTCTTTTCAAGCTCCTTAAATGCCACCCACTGTTGAATAATTTGCATTCATAGGCCCAGAATTGAATAAATCATGGCAGAGAAAGGATTCTAATTTTCTTTGTGTAACTGGATCTTCAGTTAATCTTAGTGTCAACAGATTTGGTACTCATACTCTGGAATTGCCCAGGATGTTCCTGTAGCCTGAAGCTTCACTTTGTTTTGCAAGTTGGGCTTTTGTTTAGTTTTCCTTGCTTAGAACCTGTGCTCTCTCCTGGAACCGGAAACTTGTTCTGACATCAGGCCTTGCTTGGTGGAACTCTGATACTTTGTGAGAAGACGGTAGTGCACCATCTTTTAACACTGAAAAGTCAACCTAAAATTCTATGCCCTGTGAAATATCTTTCAAAAAAAAAAAAAGCAAAACAGGGACTTTGTCACAGATTAAAAAACCTGAAAGAATTCATCATCTGCAGAACAATATAAAAAGTATTGGCCTGGTGTGGTGGCTTACGCTTGTAATCCCAGCACTTTGGGAGGCCGAGGAGGGTGGATCACGAGGTCAAGAGATTGAGATCATCCTGGCCAATATAATGAAACCTCATCTCTACTAAAAATACAAAAAATTAGCTGGGCATGGTGGCGCGCACCTGTAGTCCCAGCTACTCAGGAGGCTGAGGCAGGAGAATTGCTTGAACCCGGGAGATGGAGGTTGCAGTAAGCTGAGATCACACCACTGCACTCCAGCCTGGGCAACAGAGCGAGACTCCATCAAAAAAAAAATTGTTAAAAGTAGTCTTTTAGTCAGAAAAATTATACCTGATGGATATATGGATGGACACAAAAGAATGAAGAGCACCGGAAATGGTAACTACATGGGTAAATAGATAAGATTATTTACTTATTATTTAAAACTCTTTATAATTGAATGTTTAAACAAAAATAATAGCAATCACAATAACAGTAAAATGTTTGACAACATTAGTATCAGTGCCATGATGGAAAAAATGGAAGTATTGAAAGATTTTTTAGACTACTCATGGAAAAGTTCAAAATGTATAGTATAAACTATACAATCACCACTAAAATAGGAGTATATGTATTCCTAATAAGCCAACAAAGGAGACAAAATAAAATTGTAAAAATAATTAGTCCAAAAAAGGAGAACAAGAAAGAGATGGAACATATAGAAACAAATAGCAAGATGATAGACTTAAGCATAATTAAAATCACATTAAATGTTAACAGTCTAAACATCACACAGATATTGTCAGATCGCATATAAAAGCAAGACCCAAGTATGTGCTGCCTTCAAGAAACACTTTAAATATGAGGACAAAAATAGATTAAAAGTACAAGGATGGCAAATAAAATAAGCATTATAAATAATATAAAAGAATATAACAAAGGAAATCTGGAGTTACTGTTTTATTGTCAGACAAAGTATATTTCAGAGCAAAGACTATAACCAAGGACAAAGAAGATCATTTCATAATAATAAAGGTGTCTATTTATTAAGAGTATATAAATGCTAAATGCACACGCACCCAATAATAGAACTTCAGAAGACATGTTCAAAAATTGATAGCGCTACAAAGAAAAATAGACAAATTTATAACTATAGTAAGAAATTTCAATACCACTCTCTTGATAACTGATAGAAGAAGTAGATATAAAATCAGTAAGGACATAGAGGACTTCAATATGATAATCAATCAACCCTGTCTAATTGAACTCCACCCAACAGCAGCATTATATTTATTATTTTCAAGTGCACACAGAACATTTATCAAGAGAGATCATATTTTGGGTCATAAAACAAGTTTCCATAAATTTAAAAGGATGCCAGTAATAATACATAGTAGATTTTTTTATCACAATTAAATTAAATTAGAAAGAAGTAGCATAAACATTTCTAAAAGGAAATCCTCAAATATTTGGAAACAAAATAACACATTTAAAAATAGCTTATGGTTCAAAGAAGAAATCAGAAGTAAAATTATAAAGTATTTTGATCTGAAAAAAAGAAAACGTAACGTCACAATTTATAGAATTCAAAGCTGCATTTATAGCAAAACTTATGGTGTTAAACACCTCTATTAGAAAAGAAAGACCTTAAATTAATAATCTCAGCTTCCATCTTAAGAGGTGAGAGAAAGAACCACTACACATGTATTAGAGTGGCTGAAATTAGAAGACTGACAATATCAATTTGGTGAGGATATGGAGGAACTGGAACTCTCAGGAACTGCTGGTGAAAATAGAAAATGGTGCAGCCACTATGGTTTCTTAAAACCTTAAACACACACAATGTGACCCAACATTCTACTCCAAGGTATTTACCTAAAAAGAAAGAAGCATGTGTCCATAAAAAGACTTGTACAGAAATATTCATAGCAACTTTGTTTGTAAACAACCTAAGCTATCCACTGGTAAATGGGTACACGAATTGTGAAATATTAATATAGTGGAATGTTATTTCTCAATATAAACAATGAACTATTGATACACATAACAGTGGTGAATGTAAAAATAAATACGGAGAGTGAAAAGAAGGATACATAGTTTATGATTCTATTTATATGGAATTCTGGAAATAGTGTATTAATCTGCAGTAACAGGAAGCAGAACAGTGGTTTCCTGAGGAGATGAGGGGAATGGAGAAGGAAAGAATTACATAAGGGCATAATGAATATGCTCACTATTTTGGTTGTGATGATGGTTTCATGGTCCTACATGTATATCAAAATGTATAACATTTTGTACTTTACATATGTGCAGTTTATTATTTATCAATGGCACCTAACCCACCTATCCCTCTAGAAATTATTCTACCACTGCAATATTTCTAAAATACTGATTGCAATGAAAATTTTTTATTGATCAAAAACTTAGTACTAAGCCTCAGCGTTAAGGGCAGGGAATGGAAACAAATCTGACATGGTTGTCATCAGTGAGCTTTCAGTCTTAGAAAAAAACATGTGGAAGCAACTACTTTGCAGTGCTTGGTAATCTGTAAAATACTGATTTTTATAGCATTAGCTCATTTGAGAGTCATTATTTTTATCTAAGGTATTAATTATGTCTCAAAGGGATACATATATAAAAATAAAATAAGGATTTTATCTTACATGGAATGTTGGGAGCAGCTTACACTGTATATGTGTGACTTGTTTCTATTTGGTGCAAGAGCTGGAAGTCCCTAGTTCATCCATTCAGTAAGAGAAGATGGCCACGGACATGCAATAGGCTGGACTGGAGGCTGAGATGGTCTCTTGCCCGCTCTAAGCCTGTAACTTTGACAATACAGGTGTCCCTCACTATGAAGCTAAACATACATCTGGTTTGGAAGCTGAGCAAGCTAGAAGTCAGCCCTATGCTGATCCACTAAGGCAGAAAATAAGAGACAACGTACAAGTTGCATATACTGTCCTAAGCCCTGTTCTGACCTTCTAAGAGTTAAAAGTAACATAGCTGCTGCCCGACTTCTGCCTTCCAAATCTTGTGTGAAATGTCTCTAGTGAATCAGAGAGGGAATTATAGGGACATGAAATTCGGCTTAGCTATGTTGATGCAGCCAAATCACACACACATACACGTATATATATTTATATGTACATGCATGTGTGTTTATGTATGTGTGTACATATATGTAGTATATATCAGGCATGTAGTTATACATTTAATATTTTTGGAGAAACTGTACTATTAAGCAAAACACACACCTGTAATCCCAGCACTTTGGGAAGCCGAGGCAGGTGGATCATAAGGTGAGGAGATCGACACCATCCTGACTAACACAGTGAAACCACGTCTCTATTAAAAATACAAAAACTTAGCTGGGCGTGGTGGCACGCGTCTGTAGTTCCAGCTACTCGGGAGGCTGAGGCAGGAGTATCACTTGAACCTGGTAGGCGGAGGTTGCAGTGAGGCCGAGATCGTGCCACTGTACTCCAGCCTGGGCAACAGAGTGAGACTCCATCTCAAAAAAAAAAAAAAAGAAAAACATCCATAATTTAGCAGGTCCAATATGCCATGCTCTGTGTTGATTGCTTTATATACATTAAAAAATTTTATCCTTAAATAATTCTACAAATAGATATTATTGTCACCATTTCATAAATGAGGAAAATGAGGGTAGACAGGTTAAGTGACTTTTCCAAGATTACATGTGTGTAGGCTGTAGAGCAGGGCTGCAAACTCCAAAGCTTGTGCTCCTAACATGTGTTCTAAACCTACACGCCAATTCAGTGAGCTGAAAATAAAAAACAAAACTAAAAGAAATATATAAATAGTAAATTACCAGAACATATTTAAATAACCACTTGCAGAATTTTTAAAACATGGCAATGTTAAACAAATTGAAAACCCTCTGAGATAAATAACTGCTCAAATCATATTTTAAAGATTTTAATCTCATCTGTGTAGGACTCTCTTTAATTTGCACTGAGTATACACATTCCTAAAATATATGCCAACAACATGCAAATGTTTACTGACTTCAGTTTACGAAAAAAAAAATGAGGAATGAGAATAGCCATGTGAATAAGAGACAGGCTGGTGGGTGCAAGGGGAGGGAATTTGACAGAGGGAGAGAAAAACAGGCGAGAGATTGAAAGAGACTGAGACACAACATAGAGAAGAGGCCCCAAGCTCAGGGAGAGATATGCAAATGTTCATCGACTCTGTAATGAAAAATCTTCTTATTAAACCGTGCTTTATCTGGGAGCAGTCTTCCTTTTAGGAACATATCCAAGCAGAGATAAAGGCGTCTTACTGTACTCATTAAACTGGGCATGGTTTGATGCAATCAGACTTGTATAATTTGCATATGGAGCAGTTTAATCTAGCTCATCCTGTCTTGCACCTATTGTTAATCATGCCTAGGCTTCTCCCATCCTTCCCCCTCCTCCTCCACTAACCCTTTGATTCAAACAGATAAATGAATAGACATAAGGACATCAACATCTTTGTGAGTGATCATCAGCTTTGTACTTTCAGAATATTCCCTGATTTTTGGATTAAGTCTTTGTTGACACTCCATATGCTTTTGATAATGTCCTTCTTTGCTGATTTAGAGAAGGCTGTATATGGGCAAATCAAGATGATAGAAAATCATTATAAGCATACATCATGGGCCTAAGTCTGTTCATCTTTAGCCGTAAATAAGGAGTTGAGTATTCTCACCTTATTGGATGGGATCTGTTTTCAGCACAGTATCTTTTGAGTAAGCATGCAAGGTTTTACTGTATTGGATGCTTTTAAGAATATGTGAAAAGCTTTGTAACTACTCCTTGGCTGTTAAGTAACATGCGCTTATGAAGGTGGTTGCAACTTAATATTCAGTGTGTTTGTCTTAATGAGGGTGAGAAAAACTATTCATAGCCTTTGATTCAGTCAGTCATGTTGCTTCCCATTATTTATGGTAAGGGGCTAGGGTATGGGAAGTTGGAAAAGGAAAGCAGTATAAGGTTTTCCCTACTTCTTCTCTGCTTTGCCTTCATTCCCCAAATCCCAACAATGTTGTCTATGTATCCCTCGTCCTTCCCATCACCCACCCTCTTCCAGTGTCAAAGGAAGAGGAGGAATATAGTAAAGAAGATGGTAGAGACTTTTCTCTGAGGTGAATTGCATCCATTATAGAAATGGTGAAGACCTAGTTTCTAGAAAATGTTTTCTTTTTCTTTTTTTTTTAAATTATACTTTAAGTTCTAGGGTACATGTGCACAACATGCAGGTTTGTTGCATACATATATACATGTGCCATGTGGGTGTGCTGCACCCATCAACTCATCATGTACATTAGGTATTTCTCTTAATGCTGTCCATCCCCCCTCCCCCGACCCCATAACAGGCCCCCGGGTGCGATGTTCCCCGCCCTATGTCCAAGTGTTCTCATCGTTCAGTTCCCGCCTATGAGTGAGAACATATTATTCCAAAATAAAATCCTGATTATAAATAAAATAAAATAAAAAAATAATAAATAATAATAAAAAGAAATGGTGGAGACCAATTAGAGCGTGAGTGAAAAAGGCTTAGTCACACTCTCCCTCCCATGGGATAGGATTATGTTGCTGCTTGAAAGTGAAGATCCTGCCCTCAAGAAGCATGGGAGGAAGTGTGAGAATATACAGTCATCCAATGCTTCATGATAGAGACGTGTTCTGAGAAGTGTGTCCTTAGATGACTTCACTGATACGCAAATATCACAGAGTGCACTTACACAGACCTAGATGGATAGCCTACTCCACTGTAGCCTGTGGCTCCTGGGCTGAAAACCTGGGCAGCATGTTCCTGTACTCAATGCTGTAGGCAGCTGTAACACAATGGTAAGCATTTGTGTGTCTGAACATATTTAAACACAGAAAAGGTACTGTAAAAATATGGTATAAAAGAAAATATGGTCCACCTGTATAGGGCACTTACTATGAATGGAGGTTACAGGACTGGAGGTTGCTCTAGATGAGTCAGTGAGTGAGTGGTGAGTGAATATGAATGCCTTGGACGTTAGTGTACACTACTGTAGACTTAATAAATACTGTACACTATTTAGGTTGCACTAAATTTATTTAAAAAATTACTTTCTCAATAATAAATTAACCTTAGATTACTGTAACTTTTTTACTTTTAACTTTTCAATTTATTTTAACTTTTTCATTCTTTGGTAATAAGATGTAAAACACAAACACATTGTACAGTTATACATAATATTTTTTCTTTATATCTTTCTATAAGCCTTTTTCTATTTTTAAAACATTTTATTTTATTTTTTACTTTTTCAACTTTTTTTGTTAAAAACTAAGACACAGACACACGCTTTAGCCTAGGCCTACTCAGGGTCAGGATCATCCGCATCACTGTCTTCAAGCTCTCCCGCATCTTGTCCCACTGGAAGGTCTTCAGGGGCAATGCCACACATGGAGCTGTCATCTCCTATGATCACAATGCCTTCTTCTAGATACCTCCTGAAGGGTCTGCCTGAGGCTGTTCACAGTTAACTTTTTTTAATAAGTAGAAGAAGTACACCCTAAAATAACAATTAAGAGTGTAGTATAGTCAATACATGAACCCATCACACAGTCGTTTATTATCATTATCACATATTGTATACTCTACATATTGATGTGTGCTAGACTTTTATACAACTGGCAGCACAGGAAGTTTGTTTGCACCAGCATCACCCCAAGCCCATGAGCAAGGCTTTGCACTATGACAGTTTGATGGCTATGATGCCACCAGGCCATAGGAATTTTTCAGTGCCATCATCATTTTATGGGACTAATGTGTAATATGTAGTCCATCATTGACTGAAATATCATTATGTGGTATGTGACTGTATCACAGAGGCAGGACTCTGAAACATAAAGAAGTGTTAGGCAAATAACATTTAAAATGTTTAATTAAATCTTTATATGACTCTACATTGCTCTGCGTATACCCAATCTAAGTTATGTTGGGTTAGATTTTGGTTAAACTCACACTCAAATGGTAGATTAGAGGGCAACTGAGTTGTGGTAAACAGGGGAGAGCGTGCATCTGGGAGAGCCCTCCTGTGGGTAAGCAACTCGCCTAGACTTTGAAGCAGTAGGAAAAGAATAAGGAAAGATCGATTCTAGGCTTTGGGAGATATTAGGTTGCATTCTTCTGGAGGGTGATGCTACTGGTTATCTTTTTCTTAGAAAGTGTGTGAGTAAGTGAGTTTCTCTGTAGCATTCACCGATTCACCATTTGCTTTCTTCTTTTCCCTCTTGTGTCTTCAGGATGTAGAACTAAATATAAGATACATCTAGAGCCTGAGGTTAAATACATTTGGGTGCCCAAATCTTATCATACGTATCTAGTCAAATAATATGATAACAACAATAATAGACATTTATCGGGCATATACCAAGTAGCAAGCTAAAAGCTTTCATTGGATTATCTTATTTATTAGGTTGGTGCAAAAGTAAGTGTGGTTTTTGCCATTACTTTCAATGACAAAAACCACATAACTTTTGCACCAACCTAATAGTAATATAATTTTCCTCAAACATTTAAGCAGTTGTTATTATCATGCCTATTTTTACATAGGATGTAATTGGCTTGTTCCTCCACTTCCTGTAAGCACCTGACTTCCAGCTGAATCAACAAATGGATCAATGAGTTTGTAGGAGTGCAATTCTTAGTGTCTCCTCTGTGCCTACGTCTCATTGCCACCTCTAACTACAGAAGCTGTGGGGGCGAATCTTCTGTTTATGTGTTTCTGGTACACGTGGGCCAGACATGTAACCACATAAGTTCTTCCTATCAGTGCTGTCTCCCCAGAATTTGGTCAAACAATGCAAAAGCCTTTTGGGAGAAGAGATTCATTGCAGCAGAGTTACAGATTGGTCTGTGATCCAAATCGTCCAAATGTTAGGATTCCCTTGGCTCTTACCAGCTTTCCAACTCCAGGTGTTGTGATTTTCATTGATTCCAGGCACCCCAGGTATCCTTTTTCTTTTCTCTCTCTTTTAAGGCTCCTTTTCCATCATAGCTAGAGAACAGCTGATATCTTGATTCTCCAGTCCAGGACACCAATTCATTCTCCAACCAAAAGAGGTCCTCATTCTTAGGTCATGATTTGGTGATATGATTTTTTCATTTCTTTGCTGTCCCCATATAAATCCTCTCTATTAGTCAAGTTCCAGATCAAATCTCAAATCCTCTCATGATGTCTTATTTACTTATTTCTTTTATTTTTTATTTTTTGAGACAGAATCTTGCTCTGTCGCCCAGGCTGGAGTGCAGTGGCATGTTCTCAGCTCATGGCAATCTCCGCCTCCTAGGTCCAAGCAATTCTCCTGCCTCAGCCTCCCAAGTAGCTGGGATTACAGGCGTGTGCCACCACACTCAGCTAATTTTTGTATTTTTAGTAGAGACGTGGTTTCACCATGTTGGCCAGGCTGGTCTTGAACTCCTGACCTCAGATGATCTGCCCACCTCGGTCTCCTAAAGTGCTGGGATTACATGTGTGAGCCACCGCGCCTGGCCTCACGATGCCTTTTTTAACACTCTAGTTCACAAGAACTTTCTATTACTATAATCTATTATACCTAAGAAAAGCCTGAACTGTTCAGCATCAATGCTCTGCCTCTTAGACTGTCTAATGCAGGCATTCTTAAGCTTATTGATTCAGTTATTTATTCAACAATATTTATTATGTGAGAGAACTCTACTAGGTGCCAGTGACAACGCAGGAAATGCACACTTTAAACATATGATATGTGCTTCCAAAGAGGAGGTAAAGGTGCTATGGGAAAGTGTGATGGGAAGTCTAACCTCATCTGGGGCCATAGAGGGGTCCGTGAGATATGTAGAATTTCTGAAATGTGGTAAAGAATTGAATTTTTCTATAACAGACCTCTGTAACTGGTACTGGATTCTCTAAGAGCTCCATGACCCCAAAAATGTTAAGAACCAACCTCTAAGTGCACACGCTTCTCTGTCTTTTCAATTAGTGAAATCTCTTTGAGTTAGGGAACTGTCTGGTAATTCTCATCTGTGCCCAGATGACCTACTTCAACAGTGCTAAGTGTACAGTAGCTTCTCAATACATTCTTATCGATTACTGAGGAACTCTAAGAAATGAAAACTTGCCTCAAAATGTAGGTCAAGTTTCTCCTTCCAGTTGTATGTTTTTCTAAAACTCAAATTTAGTCGTCATGTATGTTGTTCAAAATCACATTCTTTGGAACTGTATTGCCTGAGATAAAAGCCTGGCAGTGAGAAACGAGGATGATTTTTAACTTTTTGATCATAAGGTTAACCTGAAAGCTGCACTTTACGATGACGGCTGACCCTCTGTTTGGGTGTCGGGCTGCTGCCCAGCGTCTTCTTTGATCTGTCCAAGATGCGTAGCAGGTACAAGTGTTTTAATTTCAGCATTACCTCCGTAGGTAACCAGCCCTGCTCCTTCTGTCTGCGAGCAAGCTGGGGAGAATACAAAATGCCTTTTCTCATTCATAATGATTGCTCTCAGGCCTCTGGGAGATCTGATTGAAAAACTGAGTCCTTCTGGCCAGATTGGGAATCTGGAAATTAGCTTTTTATAGTTTCGAGAAGACTTGGAATGAAAGAAGATGTTAGGAGAACAAGTGGCAACCAGGTCAGAATCAATATTTATTGGCTTATTAAAGAGAGGGGGATGTTGGGAACAAGTGTCTCTCCACTTGTGTGGGCTTATATGTACCAACTGCTGCCTGCCTGCCTGTGAATCCCAACTGTTAGGGTCGAATGTTCTCATTTTTCTTATATTTACAGTCTTTGAAATTTCTCATTTAACATGCCTCAGGGCATGCATGTTAGCCATTCAGGTGTTAATACAGGAATTATGACACAATAAATGATTTCTAGTTTTTGTTTCTTGTCTCTCTTCAACTCTGCCCTCCCCTGCATGCTTGTCTTTTCTCTCTTTCAGCATGAATCTCTTTGGGGGACACGCTAGTAGGATGTTAATCTTCAAAGACAGTCCTTCTCTGTGTTACTGGAGTCACAGATGAGCTCTTGAATCAGCCTCTCACTCTATTATGGCACAGGTAGGCACAGTGGGTTCTGATGAGAGTGGTTTTCCATGAGGTGTGAGGAGTCCCCGGAGAGTGCTCTTCCTACCCTATCTCTCTCCTTTTGTCTCTCCTTTCAACACCAGTGAAAATCTCCTTCATTATTGCTGATACTAGAAATTTTCCCTGTAAGATTCTATCCTTTGCATCAAAGTGCTCTCTTGGGGAAAGAGGATGATATACTAAACCTTATATGAGTCCTAGCACACCTGAGTACTTCATGCAATTCAAACATCCAGAATGACTTTTATTGAGCAGCTAGTCTGACCTGACACTGTGCTACATCCTTTATGTAAATCCAAGCTCATCTTTTTTTTTCAAAAACCTTAAATAGCAGGCTCCCTCATTATATCAATTTCATAATTGGCTCAAAAAATTTTCTGAACACTCTTCAGGTGATAAGCAGCACTACCAGAATTTGATATCAGTCCAATGTGGCTTCAAATCTATGGCCTTTCCACAGTTCAAAATGAAATAAGACCATATTCACGACATATAAAATACTTAGATTAAAACATTAGTTTCTTCAAACATCTACCCCCCCAATTTATATTAAGGCAGATAATCATAAAGTATCATACCTGAATATTATTGGGCAATAGGGAAGGAATTCAGTTATTCAGTGACATCGAGTGCCCACTATGTGCCAGGAACTTTTCTAGTTGCTGAAGATATAGCAGTCAACAAAACAGAGACTCAGTCTTTACAAAGCTTACCTTCTAGTGGGACCAAATAGTGTAATAATATAGGGTATTATTATACCCTATAATAGGATAAAATATTATAATAGGGTAAATAGTATAAATATGTAGTATATTAGAAGTATAGTATATTAGGGTCACTATTGGTAGTATGCTAGAATATTACTGTTATAAGGTTACTATTGCTAGTATATTAGAAGGTTACTATTAGAAGGCTACTATTGCTAGTATATTCAAAGGTTACTATTATTATAAAGTTACTACTGTAGAATATTAGAAATATATTCAAAGGTTACTATTAGAAAGTTACTAGTGTAGTATATTAGAAGGTTACTCTTGTTATGGGAAAAAATGAATTGGGTATGGGCAGTGGAGCAAAGGAGTGGATTGTAATTACCAATTATAAGGAGCAAGCCACGTAGCCATTACTGGGAAAGTGACATTTGAACAAATACATGAAAAATACATAGCAGCAAGCCAGAGACACAGTGTTCCAGCAAAGGGTATAGCTGGTACAAGGCCTGGAGGCAGCAAGGTGCCAGGTGTGGAGGTCGACATGGCAAGTGGTTGGAGCTTAGTGAGAAATGGGGAGGAGATACTAGAAGATGAGATCAGTGAATTAATGATGAAGAGGGAGATTACTTGGTTGCTGGTAGCTGATAGAGAAGGTTTTGGTTTCTAATCTGAATGAGATGACAAGTTTTGCAAGATTTGAGACAGGGGAAGGACCTCATCTACGTTACCTCATAATAGAATCAGTCTGGTTACTGTATTGGCCATGGTATGTAGAGAGCAAAGATAGAAGCAGAAAAGCCTGCAGGAAGGCAATGGCAGTCACTCAACTGAGACATGATATTATATCAGATCAGGGTGATTGTGGGAGAGGGTCCGAGAAGTGATTCTATTCTCAGTATATTTAGAAGGTAAAACTAATGAGATTTGTTGACTGATCATATGTGGACAGTGAGAGAAAGAGAGAGGTCAAGGAAAACTCCATGATTTTTGATTAAACATCTGAAAGGATGAAGTAGCCTGTACTGAGATGGTACAGATTTAAGTACGAACATCAGGAATTTAGTTTTGGACATGCTCAATCTGTAATTCTGCTATATTTCTAAATATTAACAGGCAATTGAATATTAGAGTCTAGAGTTTAGGGGAGGTATCTCAGCTGGTGATTAAAAAAATCAGAGATTGTTAGCATATATGTGATGTTTAAAGTAAAATAAAAGCATAGATAAGAATAATTCAAGGACTGAGCCTCAGAGCACACCAAAAATAGAAGGTTGAAGAGAGATGATCGAAAAGATGTGGAAGAACTGGCAGAGGACCATGGGGTGTTAGAAAAACCAAGGTAGTCTTGTGTCATGGATGCCAAATGAAGAAAGTGTTTCAAGCAGGAGGAGGAGGAGCTGAAGAATCAAGTAAGATGAAAACTGAGGATTGATGATAGGATTTAGCAATGTGAAAGTCTTTGTTGGCCTTGACAAAAGAAACTTGAGTGGAATGGATGCATTGATACAGGTGAAAGCCTAATTAGGCTGATTTTAAGACAGTAAGAGAAGAGGAGTTGGAGACAGTAAGTATAGACAAGTCTTTCAAGGAGTTTTGCTGTAAAGAAGAGCAAAGAAATAGAACGTAGAGAGAAAAGTGGGGTTTTGTGAGTATTTCTTTTTGTTTTCTTTCATAAGATGGTGAAAATAATTGTGTGCTGAAGGCAATAATCCATGAAACAGGAAAACAACTGGAAAAAACAGCTGACAGCTGGGAAAATTGCTAAAGAAATGCCTTTGTGTAGGTGAGAAGGGTTGAGATTTAGTGGAAATGTGGAGGGCTTGGTCTTAGTTCAGAGAGCTGCATTCCCCCATGCTGTGAGGAAAGGAAGCAAGATACGTGGGCATTGCTGCAGGTAGGTAGTTGAATATGGCGGTAAGAGCTTGTAGAAGTACCCAACTAACGGCTTCCATTTTCTACCTAGTGTAGGAAGCAAACTGATCAGATGAGAGTGAAGAGATGAGAGAGGAAGCATTAGTGCTTTGAGAAGATAGGACATAATTGGGGGAGTAAAAAGTTAATGGAATGGAGCATCTAGCATGACTTTCAGACAGCATTTAGGGCCTTTTTGAGATTAGTGATCATGAATTTGGAGTGAAAAGAGTCTGCAAGAAAAAGATTAATGTAAAAACATCATGTGACAATTCCAATCTACCCCAAACACATTCTAACACTAAAGGTCCTGGAAACTTGGAAGGCAAGTAAAGTGAGGAAGAGGTGCAGGAGAGGTGGTGGGCCAAAATTAAGATGTATTCACCTCAAAATTATCTCCAGAGTTGGTGCTACACATACATGATGAAACACTGAGCACCTTCCTGAACTTTCATTGAGAGTCGTAGTTTCCCCCTCACCACTATCACCGAGTCAAGTCGACTCCTTTGTGGGCGTAACTCAAGTTGTTCCTGTCAGCATGCTGACCAGCTGGTCACCTTTGGTTCATATCTGTTTAAAAAGATTCCAGAAATTCTGTAGGCTTTCATGGTCAAGCGCAATCTCTGTGACTTCCTGCGTTAAGTACCATAGAATGCTAATAGCATCACAGAATGTTAAAACTGGAGAGCCCTTAGCAAATGTCTGGCCTTATCTTGCCGGTAAGACAACAGAAGCCCAGAGAAGAAAAGTGATTTACATAAAGGCATCTAATTTAGAATAGAAATGGAGCTGGTACCCAGATTTTTGTCTCCTGCCCACTACTCCTTCTGGCATGTCTCTCAGCTGGTTTCTTGGACTCAAGACAACCACGCAACTTCTCTCAATTATGAAGTGAAAGTTGTTCTTGTGATGAATTTTGCAATGTCACTTTCTGCCAGACAAATAGGGCCATGCTGATATGAAATTAATTTCTTTTGATTGTCGATGCTCTAATAATGAATGACTTAAATAATGACATCTTGAGAGAACTAGCCAAGGTGTCAGATTTTAAGGTTTCATCACTAATAAGAAAATACTAAGAATTTTCAAATTGATAATCAGGCTCTTCTCCTCCTTTCCATAGGATGCCATGTTATAAGGCTACATCCTAAAATTAGGAGTTGTGCTTCCAACACATCCAGTGCCCAGTCAAGTTGTCAGATTGGCAGTGTGAATTCTAGACATTCCATTAGGCTGGTGATTGCTGAATATAAAAAATAGGATACTAGCAGACTATCCACTATATAATAACTTTAATTCCCCAGTAATAATGGTGCCCCTACATGGAAGATGACAAAAGGAGGGACAAATAGTTATGGGAACAACTTATGCAAACCACTTCTGCTTGGTCTCCTATAATTAGGTAGTTCATTTATGCCATCCCAGCCAAGGGATTGAAATTTTCTGCGATGCACTTTTTTTCTTCAGTCCATAGTGTAGCTGTTTAAATTGCTTCAACAAGTTGGGATTTGTGTGGGCTGAAGCATGGAGCAGTGCGTTGTTCCCTGAATGTGATAGCCAATTATCTGATGGGACTTGACTATCTTCATGATGACCTGAAGTGAACTATGGGTAGGTCAGCTTGGATGCAAAGTTTCCAAAGAAACACGGCTTGGAAGTTTGAAGCAGAATGAATGAGCATGATTTCATTGGTTAGTGAAGACATTTGAAACAACAATGATGGTTCAGTCTTAAGTGAGTATGATTACGGATCTGTCTGCGGTGGGAGCACCCACACTAGTTTGTTTCTATAGGATGCACATTGGGAGTATCTTTGTTAAAGAAAGTAGAGCTGAACTCTACGTTTGGCTTTCTCATGAATCTGTAGCTCTTGTGGTGAGAAAGCTCTAGGGATTCAAGGATATTACGGAGTGTGTATGTGTGTGTAGCGTGCATGTGCACATGGGGGCACTGGTTGGTTTAGGCGGCAGAAGGTAGGGTGGAAGAAAGACAATTATTTAACTACAGTATTCTATGAAGGAATGCAATTTTTAGGTTATGGGGCAGAAGTTGAAGGATAGTTGTTTCCTCACTCCAAACCTCTGAAAATTTTATAAAGCATATTTTTATAGAGCACAGAAGTACCTGGACGATGTATTTGGAGGACTTAATGCCACTAGAGGCAAGGCACGGTGGCTCATGCCTGTAATCCCAGCACTTTGGGAACCAGATAATCTGAGGTCAGGAGTTTGAGACCAGCCTGGCCAACATGACAAAATAAATACAAAATACTAAAATACTAAATTAGCCGGGCATGGTGGCAGGCACCTGTAATCCCAGCTACTCAGGAGGCTGAGGCAGGAGAATCACTTGAACCCAGGAGGTGGAGGTTGCAGTGAGCCGAGATCATGCTGCTGCACTCCAGCCTGGGCTACAGAACAAAACTCTGTATCAAAATAAATAAATAAATAAATAAAGCCACCAGAGCCCCTTGCTTTTCCTTCCCATCTCATACTATGTATTTAAGAGAATGGCCAGAATTAATGGTTGCTTTATAAATGCAGATTGCTCAACTATTCCTAGCATCCAAATCCTTTCTCCAAAGCATGTCATCCTTCCAACTCTGTAAAACCTTCAGCATGCACATCACTGCTCACTGTGAATTTGAGGCAAATATTTGAACATAATGGTGATAATCTGTACACATGGGAGATCATGTACTCTTAAAGTTCTCTAACTCATTCTGACATGATGAACTGACTAATAAAGCAGTGTTAGAAAAGCGTCTCATATTGGGCAGTAGGCATTGGGCAAGGGAAATTGATTTGATTCTACATCGGCCGACTAGTAACTTGGGGTACTCTCAGGGAAGATAATGTGCTTTTTTGGGCCCCATGGGAATATTAACATATTCTGTTACCAGTTATAGTGTCTTCCAAAATTCTTAATTGATTTTAATAGGATTTGACAAGGCAGAAAGAGATAATCTCCTTTTAAATGGTCATCTTTTTGCTTTGGAAATATATAAATAGAAATAAGAAAGATTACTAACTGGTGTTAAGTAAAAGGCTTTATGCCAACTTGGAGGCAAAGGAGATCTTTAATGTTTTACCGGTTCAGTTAGTCATTACTGTAACTGTTCAGAGGCCTGGGTCTTGTGCTACGATTACTGAAATGATGTGCGGGGATCTTTCCTTGGTGAAGAATTTAACCATGGTTATCTCAGAGGAATGACTTTACAAAGAGAACTGAAAGAGTCCTTCTGTGGTAGCAATGAGACCGACTGCAAGTTAATTTGAATAAAAAGGCATCAATTAATCGAAGGACATTTTTGTTATGCCATTGTTCGAGGTGTTCAGCATAGACAAAGATAATTCAGATAGGCTTTTGCATGTAATGAGCTTAGAGTCTGCAGAGGAAAGCAGGCTTTATATGTACAGTGTTTTTATAATTTTAATACAAAGTAAAAATAAGTGGTGTGAAAGGTGTCAACGAAAAGCAGTGCAAATGATGCGTTGGCTAAGCTTTAACTGAGTACCTCTAAGCACATGCATGACATGGGCCTCCTGCTTTCAGAGGTTGCAGCCCAGATGCTGCAATGACAAGTTTCCTTGCTGTTATGAGGCAGTAAAGGCCGCTCAGTTGGCATAGCAATAATTGCAGTGAGTCTTCATAAAACAAAGATATCCAGTCCAGCTGGGGCGATCAGAGAACCTTTATCACTGAGGGAGGACTTGAATCTACTCCTGGAATTCATCTTGCTGACAGGTGAAGGGGATGGAATAAAGGGCATCTCTAGCGGGGCAAAGAGAACAGCAGGAGCGAGGTTCTGGAATTGAAAAAATTAAAAGGCGTATTCTGGGCTCAATATATGTGATTCCCACAAGGGATCCTCCTGAAATCCTAGCCAAGGTGCCCCTGAAAACTTTTGAGTGTGGGTGGCTTTCTGGGGTCTTCTGAGAAAGAGCAGACACTTCTGAAGTGTCCTCAGTTCTCTGTTTACTGGCCAGGGCTTCCCATCCCTTAAAGGAGGGCTTGCAGAGAAGAGTGAAGAAAACGGATGTGACAGAGATTGATTGGGTCAGATTTGAAGAGCCTTGAGTGACAGGTGGGAGCTTTTGGTGAAGGATTTGCTGCCCCCATCCCCGTCTTTCTAGAGGCCACTCTGGAGCTGTCCTGGTTGGTCACAATAGGCCTGGCAGAAGTTGTTTTAATTCAGAGAGGTAATGGAACATTGTCTTTCCCAGCCCTGGTAAGCTTGGGGACATATCTGGAGCACTCTCGTGTGACCTCATGAATGGGTATTGGGGTATTTAGCCCTTGTGAGCCTCCCCATGTTTGCTGCAAAGGGTCTGAGCTGCTGCTTAGCAGGCGACCATGACCTAGTGTCCTTAGGATCTCAGGGACCACCTGCAGGTCATTGTGAGCCACAAAGGGCACCCAAGGAAGGAGTGAACACTTGAGGCAGCCCAGAGTTTTGTCAGAACCAGCCAGGTAGTGGGCAAGGCATCTCATCATAGCTCTTTTATATCCTCTTTCTTTCTCTCCAGCCTCCCTTCCTAACCCTTTTCTCTGCCTCCATCACTTTCTCCTTATAAGAGCATACACACAATCACACCACCCCCGCTTCATCTCTAAGACAATGAATGCTGCTGTCAGTTCAGATAAGAGCACCCGCTGGATAGAAAGGCAATATTTTCAGTCCTGGCAAACACGATCATAAGTTCAGTTTATTAATATTGCAACAGTTGCACTAAATGAGATCACTTGGCTAACAAAACATTTATCAACAAAACGCTGCCACCTACTGAAGTTTTGCAAACAACCCAGATGATTGGATAAGATCACAAATTCACTCTGCCACAAGCTTATGGTCTTTTCTGAAATCATTCTGAAACAAGAATGATAACCAGCCAAAGCAGACAGGACATACCTTTCATGCAATCTGTGTAGAAGGTGTCAGAGTGGATCCCACAGAATGGCATCCGTACAGAGAAGGAGGTTTGGGTCCCTTGATGTTAAGTTTCTAGAGGGTTTGGGGAATGCTTCCAAACAACTGCAAAGAGGGCTGTGTCTATTAGGAACACATTCTCTACAAACTCATTGGCAACACTGGTGTTCAAACTGCACTGAAGGCATGTAAAAACATGGTTTTTATTGTTGTTCTCTAGAAAATAAATATATTTGGTACCAAAAAACATCCCATGAAACTTATGATGATGATAACAATAGCGATTTTTCTGTGTGAATATACAGCTGTGAAAATATACTTTCATTCAAAGACTCTTTAAACTGTGGAAACCACTTTAGAAAGGGATAATTAAGTTGTATTGTGTTTATAAAGTTCAGAGTACTTTAGTAAGTAATGTGAGAACTAATTTGTAAAGCCAGGGGGGAGTTCAGGGGGAAAAAGTAACGCAACAATGGTGATTTATATGTGATTTTCTTCCAAAGCTAATAGTTACTCTTCTTCTAAAATTCTTAGGACATAATTTTAAAATGCTGAATGACAAAATAGGGCTCTAAATACCATCACTCACCTCCCTCAGCTCAATTCTGCAGCAGGCTGGGGTTGGCTGGGAAAGAAGAAAAGCCTGTGGCTAGTGTTCACTCTATTTCCCATACGTGTAGAAGGATTATTTTCCCACTGTACTGTGAGGTTCTCAAAGGGAGGACCTTGGCTCTCAGGATCTAGACAGTGCCTTGGATATTGCAGGGACCAATGAGACAGACATTTAGGATGTTAGTATGTCTGAGATCTATTTGGCAAGCCACACCAATTTTCAATAACTAATGTTCTAGATTCCTAACATTAGGGAGTTTTTAAAGGTAGATTTTTATCTTTTTTTTCTCTGGAAATTACTGTACCTCCCTGACAGCTATAAGGTTGGGAATACAGGTTGAATGACTTTCATTGGACGAATGCGGCCTTTCTCATGTAAGAGCAGAAAGGTGAAGAGGAGGGGCCCTGCCCCCTGTGTACATTTATGATTAGTGTAGGAAAACTCCTAGCCTGGGCTTTTCTTGGGCAGGTCTATGCTTCTGCTCTGCCACTTTTCTAAATTCTCACCAAAGTGAGCTTGAAAGAGAGAAAATGGCAGAGTAGGAATGGAAGAAAAGAAGCGGGCTTGATATTGGGCTTTGGCTCAACTAAATATATAATAGACACAAATGATACTATTTATTGAACATCAAGTATACGTCAACCATTGTTTGAGGCATTTTACCTGTATTAGTTCTATTTCACATAACAATACTTCAGGGAAGGAGTCACTGTACCCATTTTATAGACAAAGAAACCGAGGCCCAGTAAGGTTAAATGACTCGGCCAACTTTACCCAGATGAAAAGTGGCAGGGCAAGCCCGGATCAAGTACCTGTCTTCTGGCTCGAAAGGCCCTGCTGTTTTCATGACACTGGTTTGGGCACAGCCAGCATATTTTCCTCTTTGCTTGTCCAGAGACAGTTAAATAGAGAGAGAGGAGTAGAGGAAGTTCCTCTCTCTCTTCTACCCAGGGAAGTGGCACTTCTCTTGCACGTGGGAGAATAGAGTTCACAGTTTGCTAGTAAATGAGATCATGGGTAGGAAGCCCTTGGACCTCCTTAGAAGTAAGTGACTATAAAAAATCCAAGCCATTTGTATTACTCTTGTAGGTGATGTGATTTCAAATGGACAGAGAGCACAGTTTGTCTTCTGTTCAAATTGGCATCCCTTCATGCCATTCTGGGAATTAGTTCAGAACTGACTACAGGAAACAGAAATCACCTTTGATACCCAGTACTATTTCCTAGCAGGCCCATATTTTCCCAGGAGGTTCTTTCTCTGTAGTAGATAAAAGTTTGCCTTCATTTCATGTGATCTCATTTCATTTTCCTCTTCAGTAGATACCAGCCTATGTCCATCATTCTGGACTAAGCAGGATCCTGTCCCGGGCACTTACATTCATGGTGGTCCTACTGGAACCTCACTTTTGCCATTGAATACCTCCATCACTCCTATTGTTATCAGGGGAATAATTCTCATTCTCATTGAAAGGAAAAGCACATTCTGAATATGTAACAATAACCTGCATGCAGCTCTCTGATTATAAATATCAAGTGTTATAAAAGCCCCATCAGTGTAGTGATCAAAGGCATGAGGGACTCTCTGCTGAAGCAGCAGGTGACCCAGTACAATTGGAATAAAGGGAAATGCTGAGTAGACATGGGGTCCCAGGAAATTCACATTAAAGATTTTTTTTCTGATGTATTTTCAGTTGTGCCTTTTAAAAGGATTTCACTAAAAGCTAACAAGGCAGTTGATTTTGCATTCAATGCTACCTGATAATTAAAAATAAATGTGAGATTTACTAATCAGTAATAATTTTTATTTTTAACCGCTAATAAAGCCAATAATAATCCCTTTCAGCTCTGGGGGTAGAAGAAAAAGGAGTTACTAAAACTGTTTTCATTGACTCCTTCCTTCAGAAAGATGTTCTATGAGCCCGGGAGAGATATGGGTCAAGGAAAAAAACTTCAAAAGAGTTGATGGCCAATTAGTTAATGGAGGACATGTGTTTGGGCAACACATTCTTTTTCTTTCTGAGAGCAAATAATACATTCTGAGAACTGGGTCATAGTATTAACACTGTAGAGTGTGGTTGCACAAACCTAGATAGTGTAACCTACTACACACCTGGGCTATATGGTCTAGCTTATTGCTCCTAGAGTACAAACCTGTATGGCATGTGACTGTACTGAATACTGTAGGCAATTATAACACAATGGTATTGCATATCTAAACATAGAAAAGGTCCAGTAAATACATGGCATAAGAGATTAAGAAATGCTACACCTGATTAGGACAACTGAATGGAGCTTGTAGGACTGGAAGTTGCTCTGGGTGAGTCAGTGAGTGAGTGGTGAGTGAATGTGAAGGCCGGGGACATTACTGTACACTCCTGTCGACTTTATCAACACTGTACACTTAGGCTACACTAAATATATGAACGTTTTTATTTCTTCAGTCATAAATTAACCTTATCTTCCTGTAACTTTTTAACTTCATGAACATTTCAATGTTTTACAAACTTTTGGACTCTTTTATAACAACACTTACTTAAAACATAAGTACATTATATGCTAAAAAATTATTTTCTTTCTGTATATCCTTATTCTGTAAGCTTTTTTCAACTTTTTTATTGTTTTTAGCTTAAAATGTTTTTGTTGTTAAAAACTTAGACGCAAACATACACATTAGCTTAGGCCTATAGAGAGTCAGGGTCACCCACACCATTGTCTTCCACCTCTACGCCTTGTCCCACTGAAAGTTCTTCAGGGGCAATAAGAAGCATGGAGCTGTCAGCTCCTTTGACAACAAAGCCTTCTTCTGGATGCCTCCCGAAGGACCTGCCTGAGGCTATTTACAGTTAACTTAAAAAAAAATAATTAGAAGGAGTACACTCTAAAACAATGATTTAAAAGTATAGGGTAGTAAATACACAAACCATTCACATAGTTGTTTATTATCATTCTTCAGTATTATGTACTGTGTATAATTCTATGCACTAGACTTTCATATGACCAGTTGTGCAGTAAGCTTGTTTGCACCGTCATCACCAGAAACACAAGTAATGCAGTGTGCTACAACATTATGGCAGCTGTCCATCACTAGGTGACGGGAATTTTTTGGCTCCATTATAACCTTGTAGGACCCTCATTGTATATGTGGCCCATCGCTGATGAAAACATCCTTATGTGGTGCATGACTGTGTTACTAAATACAAGGAATTATGAATAACCATTTTTACATCTGAAAATTTGAATTGGTTACTTTTGAAAAATGCTATTTTGTTTCTTATGAGCGAAAACTGAATAAAACTATTTCCTCATAAGTGAAGAAAACCATCAGATTCTGTGCTGGCCATTTGCCCGTTCCTTCTGGGATCCTTTCCTGGCCCTTCCCTGCTCTGTGCTGGATTGCAGGGGGTCCGATTCCCCAGTTTCCCCAACTTGTGGTTATGCGGGAGGTTCAACCAATGGGTGGTGCTGGCAGAAAAGTGGCAGGTGGGATGAGGGAGAAGCCAGGAGGTCCCTCCCTCTTTCTCTCTGTTGCAGGTGGCGCTTCCAGCAGCAGCTCTGCTTCCTTCAAGGCCTGTCCCATGCTGGCCAGCCTGCCTTTTGGGGGCAGGCGCCGAGTCTTGATTCCGGTGAGGATATCACCTCCTCCTTTAGCTCTGTGGCTCCAGGAGTGATGGTCACTTCCTGAGTGCAGTTACTTCACTGTAGCTTCTTTGACTTTTCAGTTCATTTGTCATCTATGTAACTCATTTCCTCGATTAAATCTCTTGTGTTTGACACACCTAGAATGTGTTCCATTTCTCCAGTTAGACACTCAGTTAGACACTCACAGACACAGTGTCGAGCTGGATTAATATTTCTATTCATCTGTGTTTCACATTTTGCTGTCCCTTAATTTACTGTCTTCTGACCTTATGCCTCACAGGCTTTTGTGGTTGTTGTTGTTACCAGTATTGTGATTATTCTTTATTCCATAAGACAGTCCTTTTGTTTTTCTGCAGAAATGTGTTTTTTTTGGGGGGAGGGGGTGGGTAGGAGAAATATCCAGAGATGTTCTTAACTTTAAGAATCATAAATCTAAAATGTTGCAAATTTTTGAATCCTGAAAGTCTTAAAAGATTCTAGGCTCTTTGTCTCTCAATCTGTGGTCCATATAAAGGCCATGTGCAGTCTCTCTTTTTTCTTTGACGTGTCTTTCCCAGTCGAGTGCAAAGCGTGCACTGAACCCGGAGTACATTTTCTTCCTCTCAGAGCAACAGAAGCCTGTGAAACTCTTGTTGGCCAAGCCCAGCAGTAAATATTCAGAAATAAAAGAAGAGCAAACTTTTGCGTGTGCACTTTCTACTTTGTACACTAAAAGGTGAAGCTTTCCAAATAGCCAGACCAGGGAAAACCTGTGAATGAGCCATGCTGGTAAATACATGGTCCTTTAATTGATAATGAAATTAGACCCTAGAAGACCATAAGTAATATTTGTCAGTTGGGGACCGTGTGGAACCATGATCTACAAATAACTTTAGTGATCAGTATGTCAACAAAAGATCCATAGGGATTGAAAAAAAAAAAAAAAACAAGTATCCATAAAATATGAACGTTGCCTCTTGGTATATATTGTAGATTTAGAAAAGATATAAAAGCATAGATTCTAAAGCTATGTTCATGATTCTTTTTGTTTTTTCATGGTATCGTCAGCCACACTGCAATGTTTTGCAGGAAGTTTATGTTTCCAATGTAGTGTATCCTTATACCTAGGACGGGGGCTCCTAGGATGTGCTCCTGGGATTCATCTCGGGCTACCTGAGGCCTAGGTCAATAAAGGTGTCTGGATCAGACCATCTTTAGATCCAGTAGTGGGATTTTTTTTTTTTTTTGAGACAGGGTCTCACTCTGTTGCCCAGGCTGGAGTACAGTGGCACGATGTGGCTCACTGAAGCCTCAACCTCCTGGGCTCAAGTGATCCTCCCACCTCAGCCTCCCAAGTAGCTGGGACCACAGGTGCATACCAACATACCCAGCTAATTTTTTGTATGTTTTGTAGAGACAGGGTTTCGCCTTGTTGCTCAGGCTCATCTTGAACTCCTGGGCTCAAATGATCTGCCCGCATAAGCCTCCCAAGGTGCTGGGATTACAAGTATGAACCACCACATCCAGCCCAGCACATATTCTTTGACTCCAAGGTATGGTGTTTATGGGCATGGGTTTTCGAGCCAGACTGACTGGATTTGAAAGACTGCTCTACCCATTGCTATTCATGGTGTGATCATGGATAAGTTAGTCTACCCCCTAAGTTGCACTTTGTTTTTCTGAGAAAAATAAAAGTAATAATTACATCATAGCATTGGTGAAATATTAAATCAGATAACACATAAAAATGTTCAACATTACTTCCAGCACAAAATTAGCATTCAACAGCACATGAGTTGAGGGTCTGGAGAGCTGGACCCTACTCTAGGACAGTTCTGGGGCCACCCCTTCTGGCTTGTGTCCACAGACTTTGAAGTCCGTTTTTTTTGTTTGTTTGTTTCTTTAGGCCAAAGAGACCTGCCATATTTTGCATGTGATACATAGGACAGACTCTGATCATCTCAAAGTTTCCTAAGGACTCTGAGTGCATCCGAAACAAAGCTGCTACTAGGAGCACATTCTAAGACATTTATGTCTCCCTAGGAAGTGTCCTGGTTTAAAATTCTTGTTCTGAACTTAATGTTTTCGTCCAGTCTACCAAAACTAAGTTGCATCATTCTTTCTTTAACTCTATTGCCAATTTTAGGGTGCATGTGCTATTTATTCTACTTACTATCTGTTCAAGTATTCAATTAAGCATTCCTGGCAACTGCGAAGGTCACTGTGAACTTATTGACTAGAAGTTAGCCCAGCTGGTAAGGAACTGCCAGGAAGTAACCTGATTAGGAGAACATTGTTTCTCTAAGCCTGATGGAATTGTTCCTTCACTAACTTTTCTCTGTAGCTCAGTACTGAGTCTGGTGGGCTGCTTCCAGGGGTTTGGGGGCTTGCAAGATAGTGTATTCTGTGACTTGAAATGAGAGAAGAAACTGTAAATAGGAATATGGGCCTTATTGCTCAACACCTCATTAAGCTTGCATGAGGGTAGGGTAGCCTCTCTAGACGTTGCAAACAAGCCATTCCTAATGGTCTAATGCTGGAGCTGGGGGAACCCAGGGCTGGAGTGTGAGAGGAAAAGCAGTCCCTTGGGATGAAATGCAATGGCTGGCCTTTCTGCACAGGTTCTAGGCAATAGTCCTGTGAGTTCGCAAGGAGGGGGCAGGCCACATTTTGGTTTTCTTTTCTTTTTATTTTTGTATTGCTTGGCTTTTCGGGAATGAAATATTTTCCCTAATAGTGTTTTCCCTTCTATTTGTGCCAGTTTCTCCTTCCTTCACCTGATTTTACAATTCCAATTCTAACTACTATTTTCTTTCTATAACTTCAGCTTTTCCCTGTACTCCTTAAGAGGCCTGAACAGTCCCTTCACTTACAGGCTGAGCAGTTACCTCGGCCATTCGTGACCCAGAGAGCCAAGGTCCAGCATAATTGAGGGCCTTCCATTGTGCCATTGTTAGGCACTCACAGCCCTGCTCTGGGTCTACTCTCTAACGTTGCTCCATTAGAAAATGCCGTGTCCTGCATACGAGTGAACTGCACTTTGCTGTAACTTTGGCTGTCTTGCAATCCCACTAATAGCCTTTTACTGTAGGGAGACTATCTACAGCAGCATCTAAAAGTGCCCATCCATCCAATGCCTCCCAGGGAAGAAGCAAATAGAGGAGCTAAGAGAAGGATAAACGTTTTGGTCTCTCACTGTAATTGCAGTTAAGTAAAGGAATTGATTGTCTGCAGGAGTGGTGCGCTTTCTACTTTCAACTACGTGTTTCCACCCCCTGGTCTAGTAACTGCAGCAGGCATTGGAAACGAGTGCAAAGCAGGGCATATGTATTTCCTTGACATCCGTGACGCTAAAGATAAAGAACATTTCATCATCAATATTGTTAATAAAATCTAGCATTTAAACACTGATTTAAAAAAGATCAGACCAGAACCAGGTGGTGTCTACAGATATTTATCACAGGTCTATTATATGCAGTGGAGCTGATGCTACATTGAGATGAGTTTTCATCTCAAAAGAAAATGTACTTTCCTTGATTTTCTGTAATTTATCTCATCTTATGCTTGGGGCCTTATTCTTCTGTGGATGGAGAAAAACTGCCCATGATAGGTAAATCAATATCTTTCCTATAAAAGGATATCTTTGGGGTGAATTTATTCTCTTAGGTAAATGCTTAGACTTCTATGGCTTCTCTCCCTTTGCCTTCTTGACAGGATGGTACCTGGGTAGAGGGAGAAGACTGCCTGTCCTCATAACAGAGTGTCCTCTCCTGGTCCTCTCTGGCCAGGAGAGCAGTGCCCCTCTGGCCTTGCCACAGAGTAGGGCCCATGCTGGCATCTCAACTGGGGAAACATGACCCTTTCCTCACAACACCCTTGACCTTGGCATTTGTTGGCTCTCCTCTGAATCACCTTCATGCCTTCCATTCAGATCCCGGATTAGCTGAACTCCCCGTGGTACCTGCTACAGGGTGCATCACTGTCTGCAGGCTTCATCCTGGCAGTCCTGCTGCACCTCAGCTCTGCAACTCCCTTCTCCTACTGGGGACTTTCAAGGATTTCCCTAAAATTGGTAGGAGAGTTAAAGAAGGAATGATGATGGGAGTATTGGACAGACACATTAAGTCCAGGACAAGTATTTCAAACCAGGAATTTTTCCTAGAGAAACATAAATGTCTTAGAATGTGCCCATTTGTAGCTTCATACCAGCAGCTTTGTATCAGCTGCACTGAGGGTCTTCAGTTTGCAGCCCAAGTGCCGGGGGACATTTGGGATTCTCAGAGACTATCTTATGCATCCATGGCAAAGCAAGAAAAGTGTCTTTGGCCTGGAGAACCAGATCCCTTCCATCTACATGTGAACTGGGGCGACACAGGGGACACTATCTCCAGTCCTTTCTATGATGAGCATCTTCCGGCAGTGAGGTTCACCTACTGTGTGGCTGATGCCATGTTGGGTATGGTTCATGTGAGGACACAACATTCTCACAGTCTGTGGCAGAGGAAGTGGTAGAGTGACGACAGCTCTGAGGTGTTCCCCTTTCTTCCCCACCCTCTACTCCTCCAGCCGGAGAAATTAGATGTAAGTCTTGGTCCTCTTCTCCAGTTCTTTCTCTTTTCTCCTTTTGCTATAGTGAAGATTAGAAAAGCTCTTCACTTTTTTCCAAGTTGGGGTGGAAACTTCTATCATTTAAGTAGGTTAGGCATCCTCTTGACATTGCAAAAGGGAGATTTTGGAAACTAGAAACCATTTCTCTCGTAACAACTCTAGTTCCCAAGACAACTATTTCACTTTACACTTAAAAGAAAATTCTAATTTGAAACCAAAGCTGAGTGGTACCTGCCTTGTTTTAGCTGAAGTTACCCATTTCTGGAGTCCATTCCTTTCCTGAAGCATGGAAAGATAGCAGTTGAGTATGGGGGTTCCCCAGGCCATGGTGATTTTAAGGGGAATGAAGACTGTACTGCTTTATTAAAGTCCTAAATGTCAAAAACAAAACTTTTAGAATAGTTTTTTTTTTTTTTTTTGAGACGAAGTTTCACTCTTGTAGCTCAGGCTGGAGTGCAATGGCGCAGTCTCGGCTCACCGTAGCCTCTGCCTTCTGGGTTCAAGCAAGTCTCCTGCCTCAGCCTCCCGAGTAGCTGGGATTACAGGCACGTGCCACCATGCCCGGCGAATTTTGTACTTTTAGTAGAGACAGGGTTTCTCCAGGCTGGTCAGGCTGGTCTCGAACTCCCAATCTCAAGTTATCCGCCTGCCTCGGCCTCCCAAATAAAACAAATATTTTTATGGCAGGCATTGGGGTAGGAAAAGTTGTTTTTGTCTTTGTTTTGAGACGGAGTTTTGCTTGGTCGCCCAGGCTGGAGTGCAGCGGTGCAATCTCGGCTCACTGCAACCTCCACCTCCCGGATTCAAGCGATTCTCCTGCCTAGAAAAGATTTCTTAAATAAGATCACCAAAACCATACCAAAAGGGAAACCTCGAAGTTATAAAAAGGTTGAGGTAAGAAGTGAGATGCAGGAAGGGTAGCCTCCTTACTTCAAGTCAGCTAAGGGGACCGCTTGGATAGTCTGACATGTTTCCCTTGGAATTTGGTGGGAACACAAGGGGCTGGTGTTTGAACTCTGTCTGAGAAATGCAAAGATTTAAAAAGGCTCTGGTTAGGGTGAGGAAAGGTGGCTACATTGGGAGCAAGCCATGCTTTCCCCAAAGGTGGATTAAGGTTTGTTTTTTGTTTACTTGGTTGCTTTGTAAATTCTTTTACCCATGGGTCAATTAGATCTGCGACCTGGCCTGGAGCTTACAAGGGATTTGGCCCAGGAAGTCTTCCTAGACACTAATGGTTCCCAACAAAGAAAGCCTGTGTGAGTGCCCCAAGTCAGGGCATGGAGTCTTCAGTTGTCCCTGTTCATCACAGAAATTGCGGCCAGAGGTTTGCAGTCAAAACTCAGAAAAACCCATCAAAGTTCCCCATGTGTCAAAAATGCACACTGAGAATATACCACATTCAGCAGGCACCACCACAAGATGACATCTGTGCCCATCAAATACCATTTCTCTTGTTTCTAATATTTACTCTCTGCCTGTACTTCCCCCAACCTCACCCCACCAACAGGGCATGTGTCAGAAACTGGGGTCCGGGGCCCTGCGGGGTGGGTGCATAAGAGGAGATGAGGCTAGGAAAGAAATACTTAATTGCATAATGACTCTTCCTCCAAGGGGAACTGCCCAGCTCAAATAGATAAAGTAGCAGGAATTCTCAAGTACAAAGATAAACAAATAAAAATTACCAACCACTGGAAATACAGGAATTAAAGAAAAAATAGAGAAGAGCTAATGCCCAGAGAAATGGAGTTAATAGAAAGAGGGTGTCTTAGTCTGGGCTACCCTAGAAAGCAGACCCTGAGACAAGGTTTCAAGTGCAAATAATTCACTTGGGAGGTGAAAGCAACAGCAGGAGGGGAGTGAGAAAGTGAACCTGGGAAGGGAAGTCAGCCAGGAAGGGCAGCAACCACTGCAGGCAGCTGGGATTCGGTCCCACTGGGGAAACTCTGGGAATCCGTGGAGAACACATGAGTCAGACTCTCCCATCTGACGGTGAAGGAACTGGGGGTAATTTTATACCTACCTCCGTCAGTATTTGGTTGAGGGCTGCTCCTATGGGACATTAATTCCTCATTCCCTCAAGCCTGCGATTTTGGCAGCAATGTGGACTTCAGAGGCAAAAGAAAGCCCTCAGGCCAAGAAATACAGGTGCTGGCCATTGGCTTGGGTGCATGTTGTGTTAAGAATGAGGAGATATATATGGGCATGGAGACAGAGCCTGTCAGAGGCATGCCCATGACTTATACAAGAAGTTAATATCCTTGGAAAGATGTGCAAAGAAGTTATATTCACTCACTTGTAAAAGAAAATCAAGTATAGGATTCGGAAATGGACAAAATCACAAATAAAGAATAAATTAATGTGAAGATTACATTGAAGAATTCTCCCAGAAAATAATAGAAAAGCACTAAGAGTTAGAGAGCATGAGACAAAAGTTGAGGGTAAGGGATGTATCCAGAAGTTATCATAGTTCTATCTTCTGGAAGAACAGAAGAGAGATGATGGAGGAGAGAAATTACTCAGAAGGCAATGTTATTGCTGAAAAAGGAGTAAGTTTGTAGACCCAAATGTCTTAGTGCTAACAAGGATAATATCACAAGGATAAACACTCAGATATAAAGCTTTCCAAATAGAAATTCTTAAACAGAGCTATGTAGAATACTGAATGTGGTAAAGTAAGATTTCAAGTTAGTGAGAAAAGAGAATCCATTATTCAAACATGATATTGTCACAATTAGCCATCAATTTAGAAAATAAAGCAGACCTTTACCTGACATCATACTTCAAAATAAATCTAAATGAAACAAAAAAAATCTATAAAAACATGAGAACAAAATATAGGGGTCTTGCTTTTCATAATTTTGACAAGAGAGCTAAAACAATTATATAGGTAAAGAATAATCTTTTTAACAAACAAATGGTGCCTGGACAACTAGATATTTATATGCAAAGAGTGAGTTTTGACCCCCCACCTTAAGGCATATACAAAAATTAATTCAAAATGGATCGAAGACCTAAATGTAAGAGCTAAAACTACAAAACTCTTAGAGGAGAATATAGGAGTAAATCTTTGTGATCTCAAATTTGGTGATGGTTTCTCAGAGGTGACATCAAAAGCGCAAGTGACAAAACCAAACCACCGAAGCAAAAAAAGTATACCCAGATATATTGGGCTTTATCAAAATTAAAAACTTGTATGTATCAAAGGATACTATCTGGAAAGTGAAAAGACAACCTCATGAATGGAAGAAAATATTTGCAAATCATGTCTGATGAGAGACTTGTGTTTAGAAGATATAAAGAACTCTCACAACTCAATAATAAAAAGACAAATAACCCATTTAAAAAATGGGCAAGGGGTTCATGTAGACGTTTCTCCAAAGAAGATATGCAGGTGAGCAATGGGCATTTGAAAAAAAATGCTTGACATCATTAGTTATTATGAAAATGCAAATGAAAACTACAATGAAACACTCCTTAACACCCAGTAGGGTGGCTATAATTAAAAAGTCAGATAATAACAAGTATTAGCAAGGATGTAGAGGAATTGGAACTCTCATACACTGGTTGTGCAGCCATTTTGGAAATCAACCTAACAGTTCTTTAGAAAGTTTAATGTAGAGTTACAATTTGATCCAGCAATTCCCAGATATACACCCAAGAAAATAAAAAATATATGTCCAACCAAAAATTTGCACACAAATGTTCATAGTGTAACGTTCATAATAGCAAAAGGTGGAAACAACCCAAATGTCTATGAACTAATGAATGTATAAGTAAAATGTGGTATATCCATACAATGGAATATTATTCAGCCATAAAAAGGAGCAAAGTGCAGACACATGCTACAATATGGGAAAACCTTGAAAACCCTATGCTAAGGGAAAGAAGCCAGTTTTAAACGACTACATATTACATGATTCCATTTGTATGAAATGTCCAAATCAGGCAAATCCATAGAGGTAGAAAGTAGATTAGTGGTTGCCCAGGACTGGTAGGAATGGGAGGACTGGGGGGTGATGGCTAAAGGGTATAGAGTTTCTTTTAAAGGTGATGAAAATATTCTAAAATTGATTATGTTGATGATTGCACAATTCTGTGAATATATTAAAATTATTGTATACTCTAATGGGAGAATTGTAATACATGTGAATTATATCTCAATAATGCTGTTACAAAAATAAAAATAGGAGTCTATTTCTGTAATCTTGAAGTATAGAAAGCTTTGCTAAGAACACAAACTGCAGAACTTAAAAGAACAGCTTGATAAATCAACATTCAAAATCTATATTTGGTAAAAGATATGATAAAGTTAAAAAAAAGAAGTGACAGGCTGGGAGAAAATAGTTTCAACATACATATCAGACAAAGAATTTTTTGTGCAGAATACGTAGAGAGCTTCTTCTACCCACATCAAGAAAAGAACCCAAACAACTAATAAAGTAAGTATAAGGGTAGGGGGTGAGGAGGAAGCTACCAGCTCCTCCCCTACTGGGTCTGGGAGGAAAGGAAGGGAAAATGTTTGAGCCTGGACAGGCTCAGCTGGAGGACAGATCAGCTTCAAGCTGAATAAAGTAAAGAATGACCCACGTGCTTGAGTCTGGACTGGACATTTTAGTTCCTGAAGCAAGATGGTTCCTATGACAGGAAGAGATGAGAAGACTTTGACTTTTGTTAGTCCTGGAAAACACAAAGAGATTTTCTGAGGTTTCATTCGTAAAGCAAGGACACAGAAGAAAATGTGAAAAAGTCTTGGTCCCAGATTAGGTTTTCAACAGAAAGTTTGAAGATGGATGAAGTTGTTTTCTATTTAGTAATTGTACTAGTTATAACCAGGTGAAAAAATACTCAACCTCAGCAGTTATCAGCGAAAACCAAATGTAAACGATATAAATTGCATCCATCAGATTGGATACAATTTTAAAAACTCGGTAAAGGTGTGAAAAATTGATATTTTCATACTAGCTGGTAATATAATTTGATGATTGCTTTTTAGAAAACAATTGGGTAGTCTCTATCGAAATTAAAAATGTTCATTCTCTTTGACTCAGCAATTCCAATAAGAGGTCTGTGATGTTATTACAAAGGGGGAAGAAAAGGAAAAAGCTTAAGTTCCATGAATAAGGGAATGTTAAATGGGTTTAGGGAACATCGATGCAACATCCATGCAGCAATAATGAAGAATGAGAGAAATGTTGCTGTGCCAACATTGAAGCACCTCCTGTATATATTATTAGGTGAAAGACAAAGCCAATTTCAGTAAAATACATACAAAATGGTCCTATTTTGTTTTTTGCTGTGTATGTATCAAAGAAGTTCTGATGAATACACAAAATGTTATGAGTGCTTTTTCTGAGGATCGGAATGCTCAGGACTAAAGACTTTGGTTTTGTATTCTGTGTTCGCTCTGTTCAACAGAAGAATAATGAGAGCCACGAATGTGAACCACATATTTAATTTTAAATTTTCTAGTAGCCACATTTAAAAAAGTAAAAAGAAATGGATGCATTAACTTTAATAGTATATATAATATGTAATCTAGTCTGCACAAATATCATCATTTCAACCTATAATCAATATAAAGTAATTATCCATGTAATATTTTTTCATCATTTTCTGATCCAGAGACTTTGAAATCCAGGTGCGTCATAGACTTACAGCCCTTCCCAATTTGGAGTAACCACATTTCATGTGCGCGAAAGCCACATGTAGCTAGTGACTACTGTATTGGATAGTTCAGTTCTATATTTTATGTACTTCTGCCTTTCTTTTGAATTATTTATTATACTTTTATAAATACAGAAACAAAAAAATGCAAAGAACGAAACCTTTAAACTATTTCTAAGAAAAAGAAAGGGAAAAAATAAAGGAAACTCCCTAAGCACCTGCCTTGGGCCCATGATTTGCCAAAAGCCTGTGTTTCTTTTCTGGGCTCTGGGACGTCGTTGTTGATGCAGTTATTTGGCAAAAGGCTGCTGTGGGGTGGGTCAGTAGAGGAGTGAGAATGCCATTCTTGTCTTAAGGGACAGTGACTCGTGGGCAGATGGCTCCCGAGGGGCTTGGGCAGCCCTTACTGATTTCGGGGGTCTTGACCTCCTCTGCACATCCAGTCATCAAATCACCTCTTCCTGGGTGATGGCCTTCCCCAAGCACGTGAACGAGTGATTATTTTTGGAACCGGCGTAACCCAAATCCCCATGCTGACGCCTGACCCTTTCACCTTGTCCTACCTATGATTCTCTTTTTTATGCTGACACAGCGACTGCAAACTGTCTCTGAGCTTTCTTCCGACAGCGTCAATATCCCCGGTGCCCCTAGACTGTGGGGTACCATCATTGCCTTCCTCTGGATCCTTTCCAAGTGGTTCACCTCGCATTTTAGTGCAAAGCCCCAACAGTGTCGTCTAATTAGTGGAGTCAGGGGATTCACTTGAGGTTCCCACAGTCTCTATCCTTGTTTGTACATTCTGCCATTTGCCTCACTTTGTTTTTTCTGTTTGTTTGTTTGGTTTTTCTTTCTGACACAGCAACATTTTCCTCCCCAGCTATTCCCACGTTGCATTCAGAAAGCTCTGAACCAGAGTTCTTCCTCGGTTCACAGGATAATTGACTCCCCTGGCAGAAATAAGATACATTATCCTTCCTTGAATTATTCCATACTTCTTTAAGCCTCCAACATGACAACAATTGGAATTAAAATTTGAGCGAGGCCTAGGATAACTCTTCAGATTAGAGGAAGATTCCCTAATTTGAGCAATACACATAGCACCCGTGAGGAATGTCTAGTACTAGTTTTCACCGTGGATACATGATCCTGTAAGCCAATTCACACCTCAGTCTCCCCTAAGTCTCTGGGGTTGGGTTAGGAACCTCCTCTGTGAATTTCTGCTTTATCCGTGTGTGCTCTATCTTGGCCCTTAAAAACGAAATCTTAATTGACTGTTTACTGTATTGATTTCTCCTGGAGCTTGGGGGCATACCTGAGAAGTGCACTGAGTCCAGGTTTTGGTGTAGAGTAGGGATTGGTAGAGGTAAGAGGTCCTTTGAAATAGCCCGTTCCATCGATTAGTGATAAATAGGCACTTTGCATTTAGAAAGAAGACGAGGACCACTCCCAATACCTGCCCAAACCATGTCAGAGGAACCCAGAAGTTCCTCTGGCTGCACAGAAATTAAATATTTCATGTTTCTACTACTACTGAATTGAGACTCAATCAAATATTAATAATGATACTACTCTTACTACAACTAATAAAAATAAAACTGGTTAAACTCATGTAGATATCCCACCCAGCTCTTAGATTCTTGAAGATGGGGTCTCTTTTAGGTCCTCTGTTGGTCAGCAGTTCCTAGCACAATGCCTGGAACATAGTCAGTGCTCAAAACACAGTTGATGAATAAATGAGGTGGGTTAAATGAAATCATAGTAAGAACTGAAACCATTCTCTTAAGAATCCTATTTCTGGGCTATTGAATGCCCTTTGGCATCTTTGATAGTTTTACTCATCTGGTTCTAATGTTTGTTTTCCATGTGCAGAAAGAGTAAAAATAATAATGTTTATGTTCATTTTTTTTTGCAAAATGTTAGTAAGATATGTACTATTTACACTTGTGAAACTTACTACAAATTCCTCTATTGCTAGTTTCAATTAATGTCTTATAGTAATAATTACTAATAATGCTATTGCTTTGTACTCAGATGACAATTTTCATCAAAGAATTTCAAAAGCTTTCAAGTCAAGGTATTTTCAAGAACAAATTCATACTATATTATAGAGTCTTACGAGAATGCTTCAAGAATGCTTGCGATATTTTTCATTTCTTTGCCATTTTATTTTAAATCTTCCTGATTCTTCTTTTCATAATTCAACTGAGTAATCTCTCACCCTTTCAAGTCCTCCTCTACCCCTACTCCACACCCTCAAGACACTTTATACTGTATTTTAGGCAATCCAAAGCTTCCTACTAGATGCCAGTTTGAAATAGCTCTTAATAAGTGTATGATCATTTCCATTGAAAATACCAATCTACCTTCCAAATGAAGCAAATGTTTCACAAGGATTAAGACATAAGGTCTATTATACCCACTGGATGCAAACATGCAGTTATGATTAAACCCTGAAAACAAAGTTGCTGTTAGTTCTAACTGGACACTTCCATGATACAAACTCTTATAATTCCAGTGAGTGATTTCAGGTAAGAATCTCTGGTCAACTGCAGCTGGAACTATGATCCTGTAGGCATTTAATGAATATCAGGATATACATTTTCATGTTTTACAATGCATTTACTTTTCCACATAATGTATATATGAAGTATCATTTTCTGGAAGACTCCAGCTGGATCTAAAAAAATGGCTCTTTTTGTATTTACTCAATTTGGAATATGAAAGGGTATTTGAAACTGGAAGGATCATATGCATATTAAGCATTATTTTATGTTAGTATCTGTGAGATTTACCTGTCCTATGCCATATATAAAGCAAGAAGTCAGAGTTGTGGAGAGAGATGAACTAAATGACTAATAGGTATTTTTACTCTGTTGATAAATCAAATCAAAGCATGTTGTGCGAAAGTACCCTTTAAAAGCACTGCTTCTCCTCTAAAAATTGCAATAATATTGAATAAAAAACCTCTGAATGAGAAAAGAAAAATGCAGTCAGTCATTCAGATGTTTTATTTGCACAATGCCAACACACGTGAATAATTGGAAATGTTCAGGTGACTAATTGGCTGAAGTATGTGAAGTCATGAGCTTTCCATACCAAATGCTTTCATATTATTACTGTTATTATTATTAGTTATCATCCATTTTCCTCTTTTGAAGTTTGGCAGACTCTAATCAAACTTAGTTTTAAACAATTTTCTGAATCTAAATTTTTACCTTTAGAAATATTATTTCAAGAGGGAAAAGAAGTAAATTATTCCAGTGGCATATTTATCCAATAGTGATGAGAATAAAACACTTTTATTGAGGGATCAGTATAGTTATTTACACATCTGCATTGATGTATTAATGCTATAGGGTCTCACACAGTCACATTTATGAAGGGGTGCACCATTATGAATTATTTGGTTTTATGAATTAGCTTGTAAAAGTAATGCAATTGCTATTGAGGCTATAATGCCTCCTGGAATTTACTTTGCTTGTTTGTTTTGACAAGTGCGGTTTAGTTTTATGATAATATTTCAGAGCACACAAGTAAATGCCCTGTAGTCTGTTTTGTAAAGGTAATGAAGCCTTCGCGATCTGCAATCTTACTGCCGCTTCTAGATACTAAATCTTCGCTTGAAAGTAGAGTGAGACTGCTGGCGTGTTCACTGAGAATTCTCAAGCCAAGTGAAAATGATAAGAACCCCCACCACAGACACCGTTTCAGTAAATTTACCCTGGTCGAGATCTTGATGAGTAAAAGTAAGCAGGTCAAGACCATTATTCAGAAGGCTGATGATCTTACCTCACAATAACAAGTATTTGTTGAGTACCACCTCCTGCATTCCAGGCGCTCTCAGGCCCTTGGTGTACGGCCATGAACAAAATCAGACAGAAGTACTTCCCTTGCAAGGAGCTGACATCCTAGTGGGGAATGAGGTGGGTGGATTCCGAAGAAAACAAAGCAATGAAAATGCAGAGGCCAGGACACCACCATCCCTCACTTGGGCTGCACCTAAATGGCATCCCTAATTCATGCTCCACAGAGCAGCAAAGGCAGTCTTCCTATGGCAGAGTTCAGATCTTGTCACTTCTCTAATTATGTCAAAAACAAACAAAAGCCTGAAAATAAATGAACACCCAACCAAAATCCTAAACTCATTGCCAAGGCCTGGGAAGCAGCTGCCCAAGTCCCAAACCTCACATTGTTTTTCAGCCAGTGGTTTTCCAGATTCATCCCTTGCTTTGCTTATGCTGTTCCTTTTGGTCACAATGCTTTTCCTTCCATTTTATTGTACAATCTGTTCTTTCTCATCTTTTCAGACTTCATTTAAATGTTCCCTTCTCAAAGAAGCCTTACCTGACCACCCTACTTAAAGTGGTTCCTCCACCATGTTATTCTCCATTTAAGCCTTAGTTGGTTTCTTTCACTGCTCCTTCAATATTTGCCATTATTTCTTTTTCTTGTGTTTTTGTTTCTGTACTTGTGTTTTATTGTTTCTCTCCACTAGGACGTAAGTTCCATATAGGTAAGGGCCATGCGTGTCTTGTTCATCATTATACCCCTAGTGCCTAACACTGTGCCAGGCACATAGTAGATGTTCAATAAAATTGATTGACTGACTGAATGAATGAATGAATGAATGAATGGGAAGGAAAGGAAATGAGGTTATCTATCCCATTACTTCTCCCCTAGATAACTTCGTACGCATTGTCAGACTGACAGAAGAACACTCACTTCCAGTTCGCCACCGCCCTCCCCAGCACACACCACGCACTCACATTTGGGACTACATCAGATTTCCCTGCTATTTGCTAAAGTAGCACCATACTCCTTTCACTGTTTGGAATTCACCTAGTAGGTTTTCATGCTGAAATTTTACATTACTTTGAATACTCTTTGCTCAATATTGGCGCCTCTCAAGAGTGTGCTCACAAGGGCCAAAGCTATGTAAATTTTGCTAATGCTTGTATCTGCAAAGCTATTAGCTTGGTGCAATTACTTTTGCACCAACCTAATAGTACAAAGCCTTACAAGTTATAGACACTCAATAAACATGTATTGAATGAATGAATGAAAAGGAGGAATTCAGGCAATCTACCAAATCTAGGTCAGAATATGCTAGGTGCACAAACCTGCCCGTTTGATCATACTGGAATTGTATAAAATGATTTAGGACTAAGTGATCAGAGGAAAATGCCCCTCAAATGTACTGAATAAAACCTCAAATGTCTGAAGTGCTCAAGGAATAGATGTTTTCCTTTAAGGTTTACCAAAACTACCAAATAGAAGTTAAGTAGAAACTTCTTCCCTGGTTTAATTCTTGACTTCTAATATGTATTATTCCTATTTCTGCCTTAGCAAGTAGAATATAATCAGCAAAATTTAATCTTCATAGAAAGACACAGAAAGAAGGAGTAAATGATTAAGCTGGGTGAGGAGTCAGGACAGAGCAGGTGAGGGTGAAAAATTGGAGAAGATGTGCCCTATCTAAAGACATGCAAAATGAATTAAACAGAATAAAACAAACACACAAAAAAATCCTAGACAGTACATGCCATCAAAACCAAATGTGACCCAGGTGGCTTCTGATGGATGAAAGGGTAACCAAAACGCAGTATACACATTTAGTGGAATATTATTCAGCCTCAAAAAGGAAGGAAATTCTGACACTTGCTGCAACGTGGGTGAACGTTGAGGACATCATGCTAAGTGAAATAAACCTGTCACAAAAGAACACATATTGTTTGAGTCCACACTTATGAGGAGCTTAACGTAATCAAAATCACAAATACAGAAAGAATGGTGGATGCTGGGGCTCAGGGGAAGGGGAATTGGGGAGCTATCTTCATTGGGTACAGAGTTTCCATTTTGCAAGATGAAAAAGTTCTGGAGATGGATGATGGAGATAGCAACACAACATTGTATATGTGCTTAATGCCCCTGAACTGTATACTGAAAAATGATTAAAATGGTACATTTTATGTTATGTATATTTTGCTACAATTAAGAAAACCAAGCAAACAGTCAGATTACAAATGTGCCTTTGGGCCAGTGGGGGCCTGGGGTCATGATGATGTCATTTCTTACTGGCCATGCAGATCCTAAGTCTGTGGTATACACTGAGCTGGAGAGACTGCTCATCCATGCCTTTATGCAACTGAATGACTTGAGCACCAGAAGAGGTAGACACTGCTGTAGTCAAGGGGGAAACAGTGGAGATAAGAGCAGGAAGGCCTCAATTTCCAAAGTGTACATTCTAGCTGGGGGTAGAGATGATGAACAAGCACATTAAACAGGAAAATAGCTTCTGGTGGCACTAGGCCAAGAGAGTTAAAGATTTTCTGCACGCTGGCCTATTTTATTTTATTTTTACCTTTACTAATTAAAAATATATCTTCTCTTTCTCTCTTGTAATCACACTTCTGTGCATCTATGCACACCCTTGGTATATCTGGACTCCTAGCTTGACTGTGTCCTGGTTAACCAAAGTTTTCCTGTAAGTGGTTTGAATTGTGGCAATGCTGATATTTTGCAACACATGTCTTATTGTTTTGGTTATAGAAAATAAGATGCATGAATAATAAATTAAAGTGTGTAATAATATAACTAAATCACATTTATGTGATGTTCTTTGTTTTGCAAATTAAAGTGCACAAACAGCTGAATCCTTTTGTCTTTATTAAACAGTTTGTTGGATTGCCTCAACTTGGAGCATGTACATAAATATTCAAATTGAGTTTTTCACTCCGAGGCAATTTTGACATTTCCATATTGGGTTCCTCAGTGTTTTATCTAAGAAAAATTAACCACATGTGACCAAAATATGATGATCACTTATATTTGTATTGCAATTTTCCCAGTTATAGACCTAACAAGTGGATGATTTTACCAAGTCCTAAGTGAAAGCATTATAAAGGGTTTCATATTAACCATTTATGGAATTAATAATAAAATGTTTATAGGGAGCTAAAACGACCATTAGCTCAAATAGTCCAACTGTTATCTCTTCAGCTCTGGTTCTATTTGCTATCGTTTTGAGATGTCCGGGGTGTGAAGCACTTTTATTTAAAAAGCAGCTTGTGCCAACTCACTGCTTAGAATGATTTCCATTGGGTATGGGAGCAGCTCAGAGAAAGTAACTGTGGCAGCCCTGGTGCATATGGATGGAGAAACAAAACCTGCCCTATTCTAGTCCTCCTTGCAACTCTAATGAATTCCTTGGGGAAAGTGCCCTTTGCATTTCACTCTCAACTCTAGGCCTTTGCTACTTCACGGGTGGCAGCAAAGGAAGGAACCACATGTCTTGGCACAGTGGGGACTTGCATGTGGACAGCAGAATTGGACAAAATTTACATAGTGCAACATGAATAAGTGAAAATGCAGGTGGTCAGGCAGGAGGAAGGTGACGTCTTGGCTACCAACTCACGAGCTGAGCACCACGCTAGCACCTCCCCTAATTCAGTTTTGGCTCCTTCATCCCAGAAAGAGACAAGGGTAGTGAGACTTCATAGTGTTGAGGTAAGGAAATGACCATCTGGCATACGAAAAAAAAATTCCATAAATATTTGTTGAACCTCAGAGCCCGCCATGATTTCACTGTTATTGGCAAGGTTTCACCATCATCCCTGCCCCTGTTTTTGCTGGAAACCTCAGACTTCAATCTATCCTGGCTGTGAGTTCTAGTTGAAAGGGTGGGCTCCTGAAGACCGTCACTGTCAACGGAGCACTCCCCAGAGACACTGGCAAAGAAAGGCAAATGGGAGTTAGGCTTATTAGCAAAGAAAAACACAAATCTTTAGCCAGGAAGAAAACACAAATTGGGCACCTCCAACCTGTTATGTATCTGTGCCTTCAGATATTGGAGTAAATTCCGTTTTCAGGGATTCTCAGTATAATGCTGGGTCATATTCTCCCTTGCTGACAGCATTTTTTGGAGCAAGTCCAAGGGCGGCTTTTGACCTGAGGTTATTAACCCATCATTACTGAAAGTTTCATTGGACAATGTTACATCATTGTATACTGAGTTATAGTTATTTGTGTGCTTGCTCTCTTTCTGTCTCTGTCTGTCTCTTGCTATGCATAAATATGCATATACAAAAGATACTATTTATTTCACCTGCACTGACTAAATTTTTAGGCTCTGTAGGTTTATATTTCTTGAGCTTAATGTTGCATTAATGCATTTTTGTTTGCCTGAATGAGTTATTCCCAGCCCTTGCTTGAATCTGTTCATTAAGATTTCATGAAGTCAGCTCTTGATGAATTCACAAGCCAGAACTGCAACTTTCTCACTGTTTTTGTCGTGTTAAAAAGCGCAGCACCAGCTTTTCATACTGGTGGATGGTAGAGATAAATCCTCCAATGCCAACTCATCACCTAGGGATGACAGAACTCCTGCTGAATTTACACAAGTCCTTTATTATGTGAAGTGATTTGAGTGAAACAAATGGGTTATTTACTGTGCAGCAGGCTAAGAAGTGACTCTTTTAAAATGGTAAACATTACAGTACATCATATCTGGGAAGACTTTTTTTTTTTTGGCCCATGTTTGTCTGAGATTTCCACAGTTGATGTGAAAGTTGCAAATCTGAAGTACAGATTTTTTTAAAGGGAAAGTTAGAAAGAGGAGGAGGGAAACCGTCCGCAGGGATTTTTGGAGGACTTGTGCAGCACTGGTCTTGTTCCAGCTGAGAAGTTATTTTCAGGCATTTCCTCATTGAGGGTTTTAAAACCATAGAAATCCTATTTGGAGGATCATGGAGGTATTGCTTTGTCTTCAGTTTTTAGCTTTTTCAGCTAAAGGGAAAGCACGTGACTGAGAGCAGGATGCAGTGCATTGTCACTGGGGCTTCTGTGAAGTGATTGATTGGGGATGGAAAATGACTTGACTTAAGTAAGATTAAGAAAACTGGAGAGGGCCAAGGGAAGCCATGAAGACTTCCCATCCTAGCCTATGAGGATGTCTTCATCTGGCATAGAATGCGTAGTGGTGAGTGCCACTCCTTAAGAACTCAGGAAGGATGGTAGGGGCAAGCTGGGCAGATAGACCCAAAGAACTTGCTGCCTCTCTTCTCCTTTATCCCTTCCTTTCCTGACATGCTGTCACTTCTGGTAGGCATTTGTGTATGGCCAATACAATGAATAGTAGGCACGGTGGCTCACGCCTGTAATCCCAGCACTCTGGGAGGCCAAGGCGGGCAGATCACCTGAGGTCAGAAGTTCGAGACTAACCTGGCCAACACAGTGAAACCCCATCTCTACTAAAAATACAAAAATTAGTCGGGCATGGTGGCAGGTGCCTGTAATCCCAGCTACTAGGGAGGCTGAGACAGGAGAATCGCTTGAACCCAGGAGGCAGAGATTGCAGCGAGCTGAGATCATGCCACCGCACTCCAGCCTGGGCAACAAAGAGCAAAACTCCGTCTTAATAATAATAATAATAATAATAATAATAATAAGTCAAGCATTTTACTGAGTGAATACCAAGGATGAGACACTATTGGTGTTTCTAAAGTTGTAAACATGTAACCCCTTGCAAGGCAGGTTTTATTATCACTCTTTTATTTTGCAGAAACAAGGTTCGGAAATGCTTGCCTGGTGAGTAGCAGGTGTGGGCTGTGAACTAGAGAATTTCTGACTCTAGATTCTATACCTTTTCCTCTATGCCATTGCACCAGTGCAGTATTTAGGATGCCAGCTACATAATTGTAGCAAAGGGACCTAAAGAGAAGGTTCATTTCTCTCTTGTTAAACAGACCAGGGTAGATATGAAGGTTTTCCTCCACAAAGTCATCTAGGGATCCAGGCTGGCCAGGTGGCGTTTCTATGCTCCAGACGGCAGGAAAGGGCCAGTGCATGGTGAGTATGCCTAAGAAGATCACAAAGGATTTGGACAGGTCAGTTCCACTGGAATCCCACTGTTGTGAAATCAGTCACAAATCCATCCCTAGAATCAACTGGGACAAAGCATTGTAGTCTATAGTTGGGTGGTCAGGTGCCGAGGTGAAACCCAGAGGGGTCCTCAATGAAAGGGAAGAGGGGGAAAATGGATATTGGGAAACAACAGTCTCCACCTCAATCAAGGTACCTCCATGGTGCCTCTGCCCTACATTGGTGGGAAAATAAGTCAGGAGGGCTTCAGGAAGAAAGGTGATGGAGGAAGCAGAGCTGAGGATGGCTTCTTGAACTGTGAATTTTAAGGTCTTTTTTTTTTAATTATACTTTAAGTTTTAGGGTACATGTGCACAACGTGCAGGTTTGTTACATATGTATACATGTGCCATGTTGGTGTGCTGCACCCAGTAACTCGTCGTTTAACATTAGGTATATCTCCAAATGCTCTCCCTCCCCCCTCCCCCGACCCCACAACAGGCCCTGGTGTGTGATGTCCCCCTTCCTGTGTCCATGTGTTCTCATTGTTCAGTTCCCACCTATGAGTGAGAACATGCAGTGTTTGGTTTTTTGTCCTTGGGATAGTTTGGTGAGAATGATGGTTTCCAGCTTCATCCATGTCCCTACAGAGGACATGAACTCATCATTTTTTATGGCTGCATAGTATTCCATGGTATATATGTGCCACATTTTCTTAATCCAGTCTATCATTGTTGGACATTTGGGTTGGTTCCAAATCTTTGCTATTTTGAATAGTGCCACAATAAACATACGTGTGCATGTGTCTTTATAGCAGCAAGATTTATAATCCTTTGGGTATATACCCAGTAATGGGATTGCTCGGTCAAATGGTATTTCTAGTTCTAGATCCCTGAGGAATCGCCACCTGACTTTTTAAAAAAAAAAAATTTGCCATCATCAGAACATAATCTGCCCCCCAAGTCCCCATTTTACCTCAGTTAACTTTCTCTTTCATATAACTCACCTTCTCCTCATGGTAACCCAGAAATTAGTCAGTTTCAGAGTAACTACGGTTTCTTCAGGTAGTACCAAAACTATTCCTGCACTATTTTATTTGTTTTCTGTTTTGAGGGTCTGCCCAACCTGACCAGGTACCTGCAAGCAGAGCTGCTTAGATCGTTGTAAACTTTCTCTCTCGGCTTAACCCTGGAATATTTCTTCAATGCCCTCTCATTAGCTGACCCAGACTGTGAGCTTTTGAACACTCTCTGGAGCTGCCATGATCTTGTGATAAACCCCAGTTTTTTGCCCCCATTTTCTTTTCCTTTGCATTTCTCCTCTTTTGAATTTTGGCCTCATTTTAACTTCTCATGTTCCTGTTTTCCCAGTCTGATAAAATACAGAGGCTTATTTACGTTACGCATTCAACATATTTCATGAGTACCTACCCATTCTAGGTGTTTTTCCAGGCTTTAGGGATTACATGAATAGAACAAAGTTGCCACTTTGATGGATCTTACTTTCCAGTGTGTGGAGTGGAAAGAGGAGGCAACAGGATAAACGAGCAGACATGTAGATGTGCTGTGTGTCACGTGGTGATATGTGCTGCAGAGATAAGCAATACAGTGTTCAGAGTTATGGGGGGCTGGGTTATTTTAGACATGTAGTGAGGATGAACTCCCTGTTAATGGGACATTTATGTAATCTGAGATCAGAGTCAAGTCAGGGGGCAAACAATGCTGATTTCAAGGTCAAGGCAGATTCAAGCAACAGTGAAGGCCACGTTCTGACAAAGTAAGGGAGAGAGGGGTGGAAGATGGAGTCAGAGAAGTATTCATCAAAGATATTATTAAGCCAAGGTGAGGACTTCAAATTATATTGGGTGAGGCAGAAAGCTATTGAAATACTTTCAACAGGGGAGAAAAATGATCTGATTTCCATATTGTGAGGGCCGCTCCTGCTTAGAAGTCATTTCTCTCAGTTCTGTATTCTATTGGTCACATAAATCTGCTCCAATTCAATGGGAGGGCACTACACGAAGATCTGAATACCTATGAGCAAAGATTATTGGGGGACATCTTGCAGGCTGGCTAGCACATAGACATCCAGTTCTTCCAGCACCATTTGTTAAAGAAAATGATCCTTTGCACCTTTTAATGACATCATCACCCTTGCCAAAATTACCTAGCCATGTATGTGTAGGTTTATTACTGGACTTCTCTATTTTGTAGTACAGACTTAGATGTCTAAATTATGCCAATACCACACTTAAAATAAATTGTTAAATAAGGTAGCATAAGGCTTACAACTTTGTTTTTATTTTTAAAATTTTGGAGTTTTAAAATTTTTAAAGTTTTGGATTTTGATTGAGATTGTGGTGAACAATTTGATTGTACAGATCAATTTCGGCAGAATTCACATCTTAGCATTATTGAGACTTTCGATCCCTAAACATGATATATTTCTGTATTTGTTTAGACCTTTTTAAATGTCTCACAACTATGGTTTGTAATCCAAAAATAAAGGATTTTCCTCATGCTTGGTAAGTTTATCTCTAAGTATTCTATGCTTTTGACACTGTTGTGGTTTTTTCTTTATTTTGCTTTTCAACAATTTCCATTTTATTTTTCAGTTCCAATTTCAGTTACCAGGATGTGAGAATAGGATTGAATTTTTATATTGATATTTTATCTTATGACCTTGCTAAACTTATTTATTCTCCTAGAACTTACTGGTTCTCCTAGCTTCTTTGTGGATTCTTTTTTAAAATATTCTTTAGGATTTTGTACAAATACAATCATATCATCTCTGAATAAAGGCAGTTTTACTTCTTTCTTTCCAGTTTGATGTCTTTTTTTTTCTTTTTCTTGCATTATTGCACTGACAAAGTCCTCTAGCACAATGGTGAATACAAGTGCTGAAAGCATTCTTACCTTGAAAGGGGAAAGCTTTCAACCTTTTAAAAGTGTGGCATTAGGTGTATGCTCTTTTTTAGATTGAAGAAGTTATCCTCTGTTCCCAGTTTACTGAGAGTTTTTGATTTAAACAGACATTGAATTTTGTTAAATTCTTTTGCTGCATTCATTAAAATGAACATATATTTCTTCTTTTTTAGTCTGCTAATATGGTGAATAAAGTTGATTTTTTTAAAATGTCAATTCAATCTTTGATTCCTCAGATAAGCCAAAATTAGTCATAATGCTTTTTCATTTATTGAATCCAATTTTTAGAAATTTCTGAAGGATTTTTGCTGCTATGTTTCTTGGAATATTAGCCTAGAGTTCTCTTGTAATATCTTTCTCTGGTTCTAATATCAAGGCAGCACTAGCTTTATAAAATGGGTTGGAAAGTGTTCTTCCCTCTTCTATTTTCCAGAAGAATTTCTGCAGAATTGCTTCATTGCTTCTTTAAATGTTTGGTAGATTCACCAATGAAGACCTCTGGAACTGGAGTTTCCTTTGTGGGAAGATTTTAACCATTGATTCAATTTTTTTCAATAGATGTAGAGCTATTTAATATGCCTCTTTCTCTCTGAGTGAGCTTTGGCAGTTTGTGTCTTTCAGGAATTTTCTCATTTCATTTAAGTTGTCAAGTTCATTGGCATTAAATTGCTCATTACAGTCTCTGATTATGCTTTTAAATCATGTAGAAACTGTAGCAATATTCTTTCTGTTACAATGATAATTTTTGTCTGTTTTTGTACTTTCTCATTGGAAGTTTATCAGTTTTATTGATCTTTTGTAAAAAACCTCCAGCTTTTTATGTTGTTGAATGAATTTTCTATATATTTTTTGTTTTCTATTTCATTACCTTGCCTTCTCATTTCTTCTGCTTACTTTGGCTTTCAATTACCCTTCTTTTTCAAATTTCTTTATGAATAAGTTTAAATAATTGATTTAGAGAGTTTTCAATTTCTAATAGAAGAATGTAATGCAATAAATCTTCCTCTAGACATTTTATTAGCTGCTTCCTACAGGTTTTGATATAATGTATATTTTAAATTTAATTTAGTTAAGTATTTTTGTAATTTTGTAATGGGTTTAAAATTTTTTTCCAATATTTGGAAACTTTTTAGGAATCTCTTTTATTGATTTTTAATTTACCTTTAGTATTGTCAGGTGACATGCTTTGTATGATTTTAATCTTTTAAACTTATACTGAGTTTTGTTTATGGTCCCAAGTGTGGTCTAGCTTGGTGAATCTTTTATGTGCACTTAAAAATAATGTGTTTTCTGCTATTGGATGGAGTGTTCTACAAAAACAAATTAGATTAAAAAAATTAAAAGGTTCAAGTACTTTATATTTTCATTTTTTGTTTAATTGTTCTATCAATTACTGAACAAATTAGACACCATAAGGAAAAAAAGATCAGGGACTTTGAAGTACTAGCAATAGAAACTATTTTTTTTTTTTATTATTATACTCTAAGTTTTAGGGTACATGTGCACATTGTGCAGGTTAGTTACATATGTATACATGTGCCATGCTGGTGCGCTGCACCCACTAACGTGTCATCTAGCATTAGGTATATCTCCCAGTGCTATCCCTCCCCCTTCCCCCCACCCCACCACAGTCCCCAGAGTGTGATATTCCCCTTCCTGTGTCCAAGTGATCTCATTGTTCAATTCCCACCTATGAGTGAGAATATGCGGTGTTTGGTTTTTTGTTCTTGCGATAGTTTACTGAGAATGATGGTTTCCAATTTCATCCATGTCCCTACAAAGGACATGAACTCATCATTTTTTATGGCTGCATAGTATTCCATGGTGTATATGTGCCACATTTTCTTAATCCAGTCTATCATTGTTGGACATTTGGGTTGGTTCCAAGTCTTTGCTACTGTGAATAGTGCCGCAATAAACATACGTGTGCATGTGTCTTTATAGCAGCATGATTTATAGTCCTTTGGGTATATACCCAGTAATGGGATGGCTGGGTCAAATGGTATTTCTACTTCTAGATCCCTGAGGAATCGCCACACTGACTTCCACAATGGTTGAACTAGTTTACAGTCCCACCAACAGTGTAAAAGTGTTCCTATTTCTCCACATCCTCTCCAGCACCTGTTGTTTCCTGACTTTTTAATGATTGCCATTCTAACTGGTGTGAGATGATATCTCATAGTGGTTTTGATTTGCATTTCTGTGATGGCCAGTGATGATGAGCATTTTTTCATGTGTTTTTTGGCTGCATAAATGTCTTCTTTTGAGAAGTGTCTGTTCATGTCCTTCACCCACTTTTTGATGGGGTTGTTTGTTTTTTTCTTGTAAATTTGTTTGAGTTCATTGTAGATTCTGGATATTAGCCCTTTGTCAGATGAGTAGGTTGCGAAAATTTTCTCCCATGTTGTAGGTTGCCTGTTCACTCTGATGGTAGTTTCTTTTGCTGTGCAGAAGCTCTTTAGTTTAATTAGATCCCATTTGTCAATTTTGTCTTTTGTTGCCATTGCTTTTGGTGTTTTGGACATGAAGTCCTTGCCCATGCCTATGTCCTGAATGGTAATGCCTAGGTTTTCTTCTAGGGTTTTTATGGTTTTAGGTTTAACGTTTAAATCTTTAATCCATCTTGAATTGATTTTTGTATAAGGTGTAAGGAAGGGATCCAGTTTCAGCTTTCTACATATGGCTAGCCAGTTTTCCCAGCACCATTTATTAAATAGGGAATCCTTTCCCCATTGCTTGTTTTTCTCAGGTTTGTCAAAGATCAGATAGTTGTAGATATGCGGCATTATTTCTGAGGGCTCTGTTCTGTTCCATTGATCTATATCTCTGTTTTGGTACCAGTAGCATGCTGTTTTGGTTACTGTAGCCTTGTAGTATAGTTTGAAGTCAGGTAGTGTGATGCCTCCAGCTTTGTTCTTTTGGCTTAGGATTGACTTGGCGATGCGGGCTCTTTTTTGGTTCCATATGAACTTTAAAGTAGTTTTTTCCAATTCTGTGAAGAAAGTCATTGGTAGCTTGATGGGGATGGCATTGAATCTGTAAATTACCTTGGGCAGTATGGCCATTTTCACGATATTGATTCTTCCTACCCATGAGCATGGAATGTTCTTCCATTTGTTTGTGTCTTCTTTTATTTCCTTGAGCAGTGGTTTGTAGTTCTCCTTGAAGAGGTCCTTCACATCCCTTGTAAGTTGGATTCCTAGGTATTTTATTCTCCTTGAAGCAATTGTGAATGGGAGTTCACCCATGATTTGGCTCTCTGTTTGTCTGTTGTTGGTGTATAAGAATGCTTGTGATTTTTGTACATTGATTTTGTATCCTGAGACTTTGCTGAAATTGCTTATCAGCTTAAGGAGATTTTGGGCTGAGACGAGGGGGTTTTCTAGATAAACAATCATGTCGTCTGCAAACAGGGACAATTTGACTTCCTCTTTTCCTAATTGAATACCCTTTATTTCCTTCTCCTGCCTGATTGCCCTGGCCAGAACTTCCAACACTATGTTGAATAGGAGCGGTGAGAGAGGGCATCCCTGTCTTGTGCCAGTTTTCAAAGGGAATGCTTCCAGTTTTTGCCCATTCAGTATGATATTGGCTGTGGGTTTGTCATAGATAGCTCTTATTATTTTGAAATACGTCCCATCAATACCTAATTTATTGAGAGTTTTTAGCATGAAGGGTTGTTGAATTTTGTCAAAGGCTTTTTCTGCATCTATTGAGATAATCATGTGGTTTTTGTCTTTGGCTCTGTTTATATGCTGGATTACATTTATTGATTTGCGTATATTGAACCAGCCTTGCATCCCAGGGATGAAGCCCACTTGATCATGGTGGATAAGCTTTTTGATGTGCTGCTGGATTCGGTTTGCCAGTATTTTATTGAGGATTTTTGCATCAATGTTCATCAAGGATATCGGTCTAAAATTCTCTTTTTTGGTTGTGTCTCTGCCCGGCTTTGGTATCAGAATGATGCTGGCCTCATAAAATGAGTTAGGGAGGATTCCCTCTTTTTCTATTGATTGGAATAGTTTCAGAAGGAATGGTACCAGTTCCTCCTTGTACCTCTGGTAGAATTCGGCTGTGAATCCATCTGGTCCTGGACTCTTTTTGGTTGGTAAACTATTGATTATTGCCACAATTTCAGAGCCTGTTATTGGTCTATTCAGAGATTCAACTTCTTCCTGGTTTAGTCTTGGGAGAGTGTATGTGTCGAGGAATGTATCCATTTCTTCTAGATTTTCTAGTTTATTTGCATAGAGGTGTTTGTAGTATTCTCTGATGGTAGTTTGTATTTCTGTGGGATCGGTGGTGATATCCCCTTTATCATTTTTTATTGTGTCTATTTGATTCTTCTCTCTTTTTTTCTTTATTAGTCTTGCTAGCGGTCTATCAATTTTGTTGATCCTTTCAAAAAACCAGCTCCTGGATTCATTGATTTTTTGAAGGGTTTTTTGTGTCTCTATTTCCTTCAGTTCTGCTCTGATTTTAGTTATTTCTTGCCTTCTGCTAGCTTTTGAATGTGTTTGCTCTTGCTTTTCTAGTTCTTTTAATTGTGATGTTAGGGTGTCAATTTTGGATCTTTCCTGCTTTCTCTTGTAGGCATTTAGTGCTATAAATTTCCCTCTACACACTGCTTTGAATGCGTCCCAGAGATTCTGGTATGTGGTGTCTTTGTTCTCGTTGGTTTCAAAGAACATCTTTATTTCTGCCTTCATTTCGTTATGTACCCAGTAGTCATTCAGGAGCAGGTTGTTCAGTTTCCATGTAGTTGAGCGGCTTTGAGTGAGATTCTTAATCCTGAGTTCTAGTTTGATTGCACTGTGGTCTGAGAGATAGTTTGTTATAATTTCTGTTCTTTTACATTTGCTGAGGAGAGCTTTACTTCCAACTATGTGGTCAATTTTGGAATAGGTGTGGTGTGGTGCTGAAAAAAATGTATATTCTGTTGATTTGGGGTGGAGAGTTCTGTAGATGTCTATTAGGTCTGCTTGGTGCAGAGCTGAGTTCAATTCCTGGGTATCCTTGTTGACTTTCTGTCTCGTTGATCTGTCTAATGTTGACAGTGGGGTGTTAAAGTCTCCCATTATTAATGTGTGGGAGTCTAAGTCTCTTTGTAGGTCACTCAGGACTTGCTTTATGAATCTGGGTGCTCCTGTATTGGGTGCATAAATATTTAGGATAGTTAGCTCCTCTTGTTGAATTGATCCCTTTACCATTATGTAATGGCCTTCTTTGTCTCTTTTGATCTTTGTTGGTTTAAAGTCTGTTTTATCAGAGACTAGGATTGCAACCCCTGCCTTTTTTTGTTTTCCATTGGCTTGGTAGATCTTCCTCCATCCTTTTATTTTGAGCCTATGTGTGTCTCTGCACGTGAGATGGGTTTCCTGAATACAGCACACTGATGGGTCTTGACTCTTTATCCAACTTGCCAGTCTGTGTCTTTTAATTGCAGAATTTAGTCCATTTATATTTAAAGTTAATATTGTTATGTGTGAATTTGATCCTGTCATTATGATGTTAGCTGGTGATTTTGCTCATTAGTTGATGCAGTTTCTTCCTAGTCTCGATGGTCTTTACATTTTGGCATGATTTTGCAGCAGCTGGTACCGGTTGTTCCTTTCCATGTTTAGCGCTTCCTTCAGGAGCTCTTTTAGGGCAGGCCTGGTGGTGACAAAATCTCTCAGCATTTGCTTGTCTATAAAGTATTTTATTTCTCCTTCACTTATGAAGCTTAGTTTGGCTGGATATGAAATTCTGGGTTGAAAATTCTTTTCTTTAAGAATGTTGAATATTGGCCCCCACTCTCTTCTGGCTTGTAGGGTTTCTGCCGAGAGATCCGCTGTTAGTCTGATGGGCTTTCCTTTGAGGGTAACCCGACCTTTCTCTCTGGCTGCCCTTAACATTTTTTCCTTCATTTCAACTTTGGTGAATCTGACAATTATGTGTCTTGGAGTTGCTCTTCTCGAGGAGTATCTTTGTGGCGTTCTCTGTATTTCCTGAATCTGAACGTTGGCCTGCCTTGCTAGATTGGGGAAGTTCTCCTGGATAATATCCTGCAGAGTGTTTTCCAACTTGGTTCCATTCTCCACATCACTTTCAGGTACACCAATCAGACGTAGATTTGGTCTTTTCACATAGTCCCATATTTCTTGGAGGCTTTGCTCATTTCTTTTTATTCTTTTTTCTCTAAACTTCCCTTCTCGCTTCATTTCATTCATTTCATCTTCCATTGCTGATACCCTTTCTTCCAGTTGATCGCATCGGCTCCTGAGGCTTCTGCATTCTTCACGTAGTTCTCGAGCCTTGGTTTTCAGCTCCATCAGCTCCTTTAAGCACTTCTCTGTATTGGTTATTCTAGTTATACATTCTTCTAAATTTTTTTCAAATTTTCAACTTCTTTGCCTTTGGTTTGAATGTCCTCCCGTAGCTCAGAGTAATTTGATCGTCTGAAGCCTTCTTCTCTCAGCTCGTCAAAATCATTCTCCATCCAGCTTTGTTCCGTTGCTGGTGAGGAACTGCGTTCCTTTGGAGGAGGAGAGGCGCTCTGCGTTTTAGAGTTTCCAGTTTTTCTGTTCTGTTTTTTCCCCATCTTTGTGGTTTTATCTACTTTTGGTCTTTGATGATGGTGATGTACAGATGGGTTTTCGGTGTAGATGTCCTTTCTGGTTGTTAGTTTTCCTTCTAACAGACAGGACCCTCAGCTGCAGGTCTGTTGGAATACCCTGCCGTGTGAGGTGTCAGTGTGCCCCTGCTGGGGGGTGCCTCCCAGTTAGGCTGCTCGGGGGTCAGGGGTCAGGGACCCACTTGAGGAGGCAGTCTGCCCGTTCTCAGATCTCCAGCTGCATGCTGGGAGAACCACTGCTCTCTTCAAAGCTGTCAGACAGGGACACTTAAGTCTGCAGAGGTTACTGCTGTCTTTTTGTTTGTCTGTGCCCTGCCCCCAGAGGTGGAGCCTACAGAGGCAGGCAGGCCTCCTTGAGCTGTGGTGGGCTCCACCCAGTTCGAGCTTCCCGGCTGCTTTGTTTACCTAAGCAAGCCTGGGCAATGGCGGGCGCCCCTCCCCCAGCCTCGTTGCCGCCTTGCAGTTTGATCTCAGACTGCTGTGCTAGCAATCAGCGAGATTCCGTGGGCGTAGGACCCTCTGAGCCAGGTGTGGGATATAGTCTCGTGGTGCGCCGTTTCTTAAGCTGGTCTGAAAAGCGCAATATTCGGGTGGGAGTGACCCGATTTTCCAGGTGCGTCCGTCACCCCTTTCTTTGACTCGGAAAGGGAACTCCCTGACCCCTTGCGCTTCCCAGGTGAGGCAATGCCTTGCCCTGCTTCGGCTGGCGCACGGTGCGCACACACACTGGCCTGCGCCCACTGTCTGGCACTCCCTAGTGAGATGAACCCGGTACCTCAGATGGAAATGCAGAAATCACCGTCTTCTGCGTCGCTCACGCTGGGAGCTGTAGACCGGAGCTGTTCCTATTCGGCCATCTTGGCTCCTCCCTCTCCAATAGAAACTATTGACAGTAAACACACAGAGGAAAAAAAAGACCAAAAAGACCAAACTGTAAGTGTGGGATGTAGGGAGTGAAGAAAAAATATTTGAAAGGAAAGGCCTGAAAATTTATTTTAATTGATGAAAACCAAAAATCCACAGATCCAGGAAGGTCAATGGATCCTAAGAAGAAGAAATATTAAAAAGAAAAAGCACAAAAGGGCATATCATAATAAATTTTCTGAACACATATGATGAGACATTTTAAAAAGCAGTCAGAGAGAAAAGACATTTTGTACAGAGAAACAAAAAAAAAAAAGAATGGCAGCATATTTCTCACTTGAAACTATGCAGGCCATTAAACAATGGAAAGACATCTTTAAAGTGATGGGAGTCAAATATGTCAACACAGAATTTTATATCCAGAGAAAATACCTCTTGAAAATGAAGGCAAAATACAGACTTTAAGACAAAATCTGAGATAATTCATCACTGAATACAAGCATTAAAAGAAATGCTAAGAAAAACAAACACTTATCTAAGCATAAGGCAAATTATGCCAGATGGTTATATGGACCCACAAAAAGGAATAATTAGTACCCCAAATAATAAATACGTGTGTAAATATAAAAGGCATTTCTTTTCTTATCTTTTAAAAGATAATTGATTCCTAAAAGAAAAAAATAGCAATGAATAGTGGAGTTTATTATCTATGTAGCAGTATATAGTAACAATACACAAAGATGAGGGGTTAGAAGTATACTCTTGCAAGATTCGTACACTGTACATGAAATGGTGTGATATTATTTGAAGGTAAACTCTGATAAGTTAAAGATGTATATTAACCAGTCCCAAGTAATTTTGAGTTCAGATAATTTACTTTATCATTAGAATTTAAATTTGTATACTTTGTATGTATCTTCTCTTTTTCTCCTTGTCATGCTTATGTTTTCTTTTACATACTTGAATGTATTTTACAATTTGTGAGCACAGAAGTATTCAGCCGCAGACTCAAGGTGGCCCTTTGCAGACCTTAGCTTTCTCCCTGTCAAGCTCCCTTTTTACTCATACTTGGACCTAAAATTCTAGCTGCTTTGGCCTTTTTTGACTCCAATGTCTATCTCCTCCACTCCAAAATACAACCAGGCTCCTCCTAGTGCTTTGACCTGGATCTGCTTGCAGATGTTAGGTTAGAATACTTGCAAAAATCACCTTGTTTGTTTTTCTTCTCTCGGGGATCACAGTTCCATGCTGATTGTTGTTTAATGCCTGAAAAACACTGTTTCATATATTTTGTACATTTGTATAGTTGTATACAACATGAGGGAAATTGGAGTAGTACATGATCTTTCATATGAGAAAGTGGGGTCTCCCTAAGATTCTTTTGTCTCTGTCCCACACTGGAGTATGTTAGTTGCCACCTCTTTGTGCTCTCAAAGTTCTATGTTTACACTCCATCACTGAACACAGTATTTATCTGAGAATTTGCCAATCCATGTCTCCTTCTGGTCTGTAAATACCTTGAAAGCAGTGGCTGCCTTATTAATCGTTTTATTTTGACACTTAGAATAATATCTGCCACATAAGTGTTCTCAAAAATATTTATTCAAGCTTTCTAGTCTTGTGACCCATTTCCTTGGGTTCTTGGAATATGTTAGGTTGCAAAAATCATATGCATAACAGCAATAGCAGAAACAGGGCACATGTCTTTCCATTTCCTCTGTGAGAATCCACGGCAGACATTCATCAATCACCGGGTTCTACTTTTCACTGCAGCCCAATTGTGGGTTTGGACTCCTTCCTCACACGGTTTCAGATATCTCCTGCCAATGAATATAAGTTCACTCTTGCGCTGAATTGTATTTTCCATCTATGAGTTAGTATTACCCTTCCTTAGAAATAACATTTGATTTATTTCATAGACATTTATATGGCACTTGTTATGTACTAGCATCATTCTAAGCACTTTAAAATATTAACTACTTTATCCTTACTGCAATTGTATGATATTGGAACTTGTATTATGTCCATTTTACGGATGAGGGAACTGAAGCACAGAAAGGCTAAGTATCTTGTTCAAGGTCACACAGCAAGTAAGTGGTGTTCAGGGATACTACTCCAGAAAATTTGGGCCTCTGGAGTTCATGCGCTTCTCCGTTAATGCTATGACTCTTGGCCTAAACCAATTAAAATGTGTCTCTTTATGAGGAAGCTAAGAAAGCAGTTAACACCTCTATTCTAACAAGCAGGAGTAAAGGGCAGGATAAAAAAGTTGGGGCTTAGAGTTAAAAGTACCTTGGACCTCTTAGCACTCAAGGGAATGATACCAATCTCCCTCTCAATTTATTGCTTTAACAAATAGCTATTCTGTCCCTCTATGTTCTAGGCACTGCTGGGGAGGAAAAGCAAATGTTAAGCCAAGTGAAGCATAAAATAGTTCCACATTGCCAGGTGTCACCCAGACACACAAACAATCACATTTATGAGAGCTCAGCTTAACTCCAGAACGTGCCAGCTACAACAACACATATAGTTTATGCCCTGGATGGGATTTTTTGGGAAACCAGAATTGCAAAAGTGCTGGGACTACAGCTGGGAAGGACTGGGAGAAGCCAGGGTTGACTTGTATCTTTATTTTCCAATACCCACTGACTGTCATTGGTGTATCCTTGGACAAGGTCTTCTTTCCCCTCCTACAGGTGTTTTCTAGGGTACACAGATTGTGTCTGGTCCCCCACAGACCACAGCAGAGAAGCAACAAGAGATTGAGTAGTAAAAGAACTGAATATCTTATATTTGAATATCCTACATTTCAGACAGAAGAGTCAGAAAATACATAACTCAAAAAAAAAAAAAAAAAAAAAGACAATGCGTAACTCTTCTACAACAGAGCGAGTAGCCCCTCTCTTTTTTTATGTGTTTTCTTGTTTGTTTTAAATACCTAGCTGCCCCAGAGCAATAGAATAAAACAATACTGGAGGAATCTTGTTTCTGTTCTTAGTAGCTATCTTGGGTTCTATTGTGGGAGGCTGGAACTCTTAGGATGAAAAGAAGTGGAAGATTTATTTCACTCGAATTTTGAGAGCGGGCTAGTCAACCTAACCCTCATACACAAGTCACCCGTGGATGCCCCCCAGATTTCAACAGAAATGCTGAACACAAATTTAGACCACATGCTTAATTATTAAATATGGTAATTATCCAGGCTGATTGCTGGGGGTGTGATATTGTTTGTCATTGCCCAAGGTCATTCATGCTGTGCTTCAGTCGTGGTTGGGGGGCAAGGAGCTGCTTCATCAGATACTTTGGAAAAATCTCATTTCACAGGAATTGCACTTTTCACTTCAAAGCCTATTAGATGCTATGGTTTTCCGCTGTCCCAGGGCAAAATGTTGTGAGAACATACATTTTTAATGGGCTGCTCTGCTTCTCTTTGTTTTCAGGTGGCAGGAAAGTTTCCCATGGGTGTACAAGCTTTCTGAGGTGCAGGAAATTTTGTGGGGTGATATTTCTACCAAAAGAACACTGACACCCCTTTCTTCTCTTTCCCTCTGGGGTGGACCATGGAACATAAGGTGGATGGAGGAAATCTCCACCAACCTCAATAAGTAACTCATGCTTCTAGAACTGGGGACAATTGGTTGGATTTTGAGGAAGCTATGCCTTACTTAGATTTCCCTCTTCAAAGAACAGTTAAGAGTGAATGTATATTTATATATCTGTGTAGTTAGGATTATTGGGATCTAAGTCAAACAAAATTAGGTTTTGTTTTATTTTTTCAAGGGCAGAACACACATACGGTAAAACAAAACAAGACAAAAAGAAGGACAAATGAAGTAAAAAATATGTCCCTTTCCAGAGCCCAATTTCTGTTATCAGTTCTCTGCCTCAGAGATAATCAGTATCAGTTTTTGTAATAACTGGCAATTTTTGCACATACAACCATATAGGCATATATACAATTTAACTTTTTTTGATTACTGTAATTTCATTTTATACAAATAGATATGACTATCGTTGGTGGAGGTGGTAGTAGGGGTTCTTAGATGAGACCATCAGTCAAGAGGTTGTCCTGCTCAGAAGCAAAAGAAAAGCTACTAGCTTGGATTTCATAATTTTAAGTTGAAGGGTATGATGGGGAGGAGAACATTCTAATTATTTTGTGTCTGCTATGGAACTGGCATCAAGCAAAGAGTTTCATATACACAGGAGTGGCTACATAATTTGTGCGCTCTGGTGGGAAATAAAAAATGCAGGTGTCCTTGTTCAAAAATTAAGAATTTCAAGACAGGAGAGCAGCGCCTCGCACCAGGCAAGGACTTGCTAACGCTGGGCGCCACCCGTGAAGCCAGCCCTGTGTGTACGTTTTCAGATTTCTCCATAAAACCGGACAATGGAAGCATCTTTGTCTTTACTGTGCAGATGGAAAGCTGAGATTTGAAGTTTCAATCCTCAATCTTCTTTCCAGTGCATTTACCTGTAGGATATCACGATTTGAAAATAGCGTTCCTACCAAAACAATGTAAGTTCCCCAAAGAAAGAAAATATTTGACCCCGATATTGGTTATCTGGACAATGTGAATTTTATATGTGAGAGCTGTTCCAACTTCCAGCTACCAGATGTCTGTAAAAATTCATAGCAGGCTATTAAATTTAGCAGATCCTGTCTTAATTAGATTAGCTTTTGCTCAGCACGATGGCAGAGTGTCTCTCTGATTGAGGGCTTAGAAAGATTTCTGGTGGGGATTCTTTATGGAAGATGGAGTCTTTTATCCACAGAGACTGACAAATAGAAAAAAAAAAATACCCTACCTCATAATAGTATAAAAATGTGGTCATGGTGTGTCAAAGCAGAACCGTGGGTCTTTATTTCAGTGATGTTTTCTTTTTATTTGGCTTAAGAACAGGAATGGTTGGGGGATAAAGATGGGGAAGGGGAGTATTCAAAATGACTGGCTAAGAAAATAGCACAGGGAAGGTGGAAAACTACAAGCAAATTCTTGTCGTCAAATCCTCCAATAAATCTAGCACCAAAGGAGTGTTCAGCGTTCAGTTCCTGCTAGTGCATGAGTAATTTTTTTTTTCTTTCCAGACAGGAAACAAAACTGTGCCGTTTGTCTTGAGCTGGTCTTACGTGATTAAACTCAGCATCTAGTCTCTCTCCCCATTAAAGGTCACTAAAAAAGCTTACATGACGCAAAACCAACAGTCCAAAGCCCCCTCTTTATTTTGCCTTCTCTATCCTGCCATGAGCAGAGGCCCTAACCTGCAGTGTTTTGTGGAAACATTACTTGTTTATCCACGTAGGTATCTACATGACAGCAGTTTTGAGAGCTGAGCGGCTCTTCTTGGTGTGTAGGTCACTCCATAAAGAAAACTGATGTGGGGAATTTTTCTGGTCATCTGATTCACCAGCTGAAAGGTCGTGTTCATGCAAAGATCTTCTTCACTTGGCTGTGGGGTCTGTGGAGACTGATAAGACAAGAAAAAAGAGGATGAGAATTTGTTTCCACCTCACAACCTCCATGCTAGGGGGCAGGAGGCGGAATTTGGGTTTTCCAAACCTCAAAGCACACGGAAGCAGGCTGGGAGCACTGGTGGCTGGGAGAAAAAAATGGCCCATCATTTGCTGCCGCCGCAGGCTAATCAGATTCACGTCATACACAGGCAGGGTTACTAGGCAACTGATTAAATAAACGTGCTGGTCCTACAAGCGAGCTTGCAATTAATTAACTTAACCATTTTCATTTCGACTGTTTTCTTCCCTTCTCCACCTCAACCTGCTTTGAAATACTGAAATGTGAGAGGCATTGGGGAGCTTCTTGTGTTCAGGGGGAGGATGCTGCGGACCTATTTTTGCCTTCGGTGGGAAATGCCCGATTCCTGTTAGTTCTTCCCACACATTGAATAGAAGAACCTGATCAGCAGGTAATTAACATTTTAAGCAAATAAGAAAACACGCATGAAAAGGCCTGAAAGAGTGCCAGGCGTATATCTTCAATATATTCAAAACCTACATATTCAAATTGTGTATCTTCAATATATTCAAAACTTATATATTCAAAACGTATACCTTCAATATATTCAAAGCCTGTCATGCTTCCTAATCATGCTAGTCACAGTGTGGAATGAGATAAAAAAGAACTTATACTATGGAAAATTATTTTAATAGATCATTTTCCTGTAGTAGGCGTGTGCTGAGGGAGAACCATGTCTGTGCTCCATGCATATCCTCTCCACATGCTTTGAGGTGGAGAGATCAATCCTTTAACCAGCCCAGGTGGTCATGGAAGCATTCCTGGAGGACGTGAGGCCGGGAGGCATGTCTTGAAGGTCAAGAGAAGGTCAGGAGAGGAAGAAATGTGAGTGAGCATTCCAGGAGAGGGTCTAGTGTGAACAAAGACCCAGTTACATTGGTAACATTGTGACCAATTGGGTTTGGATGAAGTAAAAAATGAAAGGCATGGAGTAGAGCTGGAGAAATTTTGCAGGGCCAGGTTAAAAAGTGACATTTATGTCCATCTGAGGAGTTTAGACTTTATTCCATGGGCATGGAAACTACTGAAGGATTTCACAAGGGAAGTGGCATAGCCGTACTTTACCTATAGATCGTTTACTCTTAGTCATGTGGAATTAAAATTTAAGAGGACACTAGAAGGGAGAAGACACTGTGGGGTGTTTTGTGATATTTCAGAAGAGAAATGAGGAAGTGAAGTGGAGCCTGGGTGGAAGGATGGGGTGGGAGAAGCAAGTGTCAGATCTATTTGTGCCTTGAAGGGATGGGGTTAGGGGCAGGGACAAGATGGCAACAAGGGCCCCAGTTTGAGAAACGGAGTTGGGGTAGGGGCATTAACTCAAAGCAGGAGTACAGAAGCAGCCCACTCATGGGAGAGGGAGAAAATAGAAATTCTGTTTTGCTCTTGCCAAGTTTGTGCTTCCTGTGTCCAGCAGGCTATCAGTTAAATAAAGCAATTTCTTAATAATTCCTCAAGACTGGGATTAGAAGAAATTCCCTGTAGAACCTGCACTCCAAACAGACTCTTTATAGGACTGTACTTCCAGAGTAATTTTTAAAACAGGATAGAGAACAACTAGACAGAAGGGATGGGGGCCAAACCTCATGCAGAGCCTCTTGCTTCTAAATGTATTATAGTAACAGCCAAAAAAAAAAAAAAAAAGTCCACTAGCACTGATAACGTTATTATTCATCATAACTACACCATCCATCCTAATCTGTCCTTCTAATTATGGAATGGAGTTGCCATATTCAAATGTGGAATGGGCTGAAGTTACCCATGACAAAGATATTTTCCTGGATGATCTGATGTTCCCTGTGCACTTATCAAATGCCACTGTCAGCCTCTGTTGCGAGATCACTTCTGATGACACGTGGGACCCAGGGAGAAGCTCCTGGCTGCCCTGCACGAGTGCTGCATGGAGAAGAGTAATTTCTCTTGGCCCTGGGAACCAAAATTCTGTTTTCTTTTGTAACAATCAGAAGATTTACAGTCTTGCTTTCCCATTTGCCTTAAACTAGCCATGTCTCTGTGTAGCTGCAATTTCAAGCATTTCTCAGTGACATGTGAATGATTATGCTGTGTATGAAGGTTTGGATCCAACACAGCTGGGGAAATGTCACAGTGCACAAGAACAACAGGCTCTGAGATAGATGCTTTAGCATTTAGGGGTAACCTAGGACATAAACCTATCACAGTCAGCATTTGGTACCCATTCCCTCACTTTTAAAAAAACATCTTTAATCTATACTTTCTATACATAGATACACACACATAAAGTATATATACATATATAAAGTATATATGTATATTTACACATGTATAGTTACATATATGTGTACTTACATATATGTTAATAAACATACATATATAAATACGTATATATTTATATACATACACATAAAGTATATATACATATATGTATATTTATTTATTCATAGACTACCTCATAAACTATAGTAATTTTATCTGTGGAGGTGGTATGATGGGCCAATGCTAGTGAAATAGTTCACTGGAAACTTGAACATTTTTGTCTTAGTCCTTTTGGGCTACTGTAACAGATACCATACGCTGGGTGGCTTATAAACAGCAGGCATTTATTTCCTACAGTTCTAGGGGCTGGGAAGTCCAAGATCAAGGTGCTGGCAGATTCAGTGTTTGGGGAGGGCCTGCTTTCTGGTTCATAGATGGTGTTTTCTAGCTGTGTCCTCACATGGTGGAGGGGGAGGGTGATATGGTTTGGATATTTGTCCCCTCCAAATCTCATGTTGAAATGTGACTCAAAATGTTGGAGCTGGGACCTACTGGGAAGTGTTGGGTCACTGGGACAGATCCTCTATGAATGGCTTGGTGCCCTCCCTGTGGTCATGAGTTCACATGAGATCCATTTGTTAAAAAGAGTTTGCTGCCTCCCTTGCATCTCTCTTGCTCCTTTTCTCACCATCTGATATGCCGGCTCCCCCTTTGCCTTCTGCCACGATTGTAAGCTCCCTGAGGCCTCACCAGAAGCAGATGCTGGCACTATGTTTCCAGTACAGCCTGCAGAACCATGAGCCAAATAAACTTCTTTTCTTCATAAATCACTCAGCCTTGGGTATTTCTTTATAGCAAGACAAAACAGACTAACACAGGGAGGGAGTTTGCTGGAGGCACTCATCCTCTTCATGGGGGTTCTGTCTTCAAGATCTCATCTAAACCTAATTATCTCCTAAAGGCCCCATATCCTAATACCATCACATTGGTGATTAAGTTTTAACACAGGAATTTTCAGGGGACACAAACATTCAGACCATAGAATATATGTTTTTGATTATTTGCTGAGCTTGTTGCTTGTAACTTTGTTTCTTTAACATTGCCTTTTTCCCCCCCACAGATAATTACTTTTTCCTGATTGGTTCTTTTCAGGCAGAATCTGAAATGTTGAAATTGCTTTGAAGGAACCGTTATTTCCAAGCTGTACTGGCAGTCCTTGGCGACGAAACCCTCACTACCCTGGCCATCTGAGATTAATTTTACCTTCTATTGAGTCCAGTTGGCCCAGCCTTTCACTATTCAAATACTTTTTTCCCCCTCTCCTGATAGAGACCTGGATGAAGGGATGAGTGAATTTTGCAGTTTCCATGGGCATGGAGCTATATAAAGGAAGGCAAATATCACTGGCAATATAACAGGCTGAAAAATTTGTTACTTGTTTCTTAACCTTATATTAAAAATTTCATAGTTTATTTTATAGCAATTTGCCTTTTTCCCCTACACAATTAAGTTTTGGACATCTCTACATTTATATATGTTGTTCTAGTTCAATGATTTTAATGATTGCATAGTATTCCTGTATTTATTATAATTTTAATGATAAATATTTAGGTTGTTTCAAGTTTTTCATTAATACAAAAATACTGATTATGATTTACCTGAAGATTTTTATTGTCTGATATAAATATGGCTCCACTAACTTTGTTTTGGTTAACATTTTCCTTTTACTTTCGAACTTTCTGTGTCTTTATGTTTCATTGGGACTTCCATAAAGAGAACGTAACTGGAGTTTATTTTTTTTGTGTATGCATTTATTATAATTATCAAATCTGATGATCTCTAATCTTTACCTGGGAAATTTATTCCATTTATATTTAGTATGATCATGAATAACTGGATTTATTTCTACTAACTTATTTTGTTCCTTTAACTCCTCCTTTCCCCCTCCTCTCCTGGCTTCTTTTGGTTTGTTCGTGTTTTTTTCCTAGCGTTTACCCCTTAAATGTTAATGTGAATAATTGAGCGAATAAAGTCTAACATCAATTATTATCTCTAGTTTCCTCTAGGCTGTTGTATAAATCTTAAAATTCTTTATTTTGGATAAATCTTTTTCCATCTTACATGTTACTATAGTGCTTCATTTCTACCTTATTATCATAACACTCAAAATTAGATAGTATTATTGTTATTCTTTGAAGTAGTCCATTCTTGTTAAACTCATTTACATGTATACAAGTTTTTTAGTTCATAATTGCTTTTTTCCCTCTAAGATAATTCTCCTTTCTCAAGAAATATATCCAGTCAATATAAATATATCCAATATTTCCTTTCTCTGGAAATAGATCATCAATGACGATCTGCTAGTAGTAAATAAATATTTTTTTTCTGTTCTAAACATGCTTTAATTCTACTTTGATTTCTTCTATGCTATGTTTTTAATGCTATGTTGTTATTATTTTATTATTTTAATATACTTTATTATTAAAATTATTAGTATAATAATTTTTATTATTATGTTTTAGTTGTAGATTTACAGGAAGCTGCAAGGATAGCACAGAGAGGTCCTGTGCACCCTTCACCCAGCCTCCCTCTATGGAATATCTTCTTCGGTTATAGTACAGCTTCAATTCCAGGAAATTGGTGTTGATACAAACTAGAGTTCATTCAGATTTCACTCCCTAGATACACACTAATTTCTCTCTCTCTTTCTCTCTCCCCTCCAATCCCCTTTCAATTATTGTCAGATGGATAACTCCATGACACTACACTAGGTCAAGATACTTACCTGTGCTATCTTCGCAGGTTCCCTTATGCTACCCTTTAAAGATACCCACTCCTTACCCCTCCATCCCTAACCCCCCTGGCAGCCAGATCTCCATGTTCTCTCTCTAATTTTATTTCAACAGTGTTATATAAATGAAGTCATGCAGTTTGTAGCCTTTCGAGATTGGCTTTTTCACTCAGCATTCTTCTGTGGAGATTCAGGTTTTTGTATGTATCCATAGCTCACTTCTTTTTGTTGCTGAGTAGTATTCCGTGGCATGGATATATGATCGTTTGTTTAACCATTCACATATTGAAGAACATTTGGGTAGTTAACAGTTTTTGGCTATTACAAATGGCTATGAACATTCATGTACAAATTTTTATGTGGACATAAGTTTCTCTGGGACAAACGCCCAAAAGTGCAACTGGTGGGTCATATTCATCCTCAAATTTTTAAAACGTAGTTTAGCTGTTTATAAATTTAAAAAAAATAAAATAGAAGTTCACTGCTGCATTCTACCTTCATTGTTGCTGTTGAAAAGTTGGTTACCCTTCTTTTCATTATTTTTCTGTTTTAGATAGGTTCTTTTTTCTTCTGCTTGCTTTTAAGATCTTTTTGTTTTGGTGATGTGTAGGCACACTTTTCCTGTGTTGAATCTTTTACTTCTGTGAATCACAGGATTCATATATTTCATCATTCCTAGAAAATCCTTAGTCATTATCACTTGCAACTTTTCCTCTGCCCAATTCTTCTCTTGTCTCCTAATTAATAAAGTTTGAGTTTTCTCATTTGATGTCCCAAGTCTTTAACCCCTCTTTAAATTTTTTCATCTCTTTATTCTGGGTGCTTTCTTTCTTAGTTCTATTGTCTGGTTTCCAGAGTTCTCTTTCTCTGTATCTGGTTTAGATACAATTTTTTAAAATAGATAATAAAATAGGTATTCTCTAAAGAGAAAGAAATTTCAAATTTTTCAATAATATATAAACAGTTTTTTCATATATGTTGATCTCTTTAATGGTTTCTGTTGCTTTTTTCATTTTAATTTTATAAATAATTCTTAATGCCTTAAGCAACAGATATGCCTTTTATGATCTATTTTTTAAAAGTTGATTACATGGGTTTCTTTGGTGTTGAATTCTTTTTTTTTTTTTTGAGATGGCGTCTCACTCTGCCACCCAGGCTGAAGTGCAGTGGCTTGATCTTGGCTCATGGCAACCTCCGCCTCCCGCGTTCAAGCGATTCTCCCGCCTCTGCCTCCTTTAATTTTTCTACTTGTTATTTTTGCTTATGGCAGATTACTTTTCCATGTCTTTATTTTGTATTGCAAGCTCATGCTTTTTGGGGCCCTGTCTATGGAACTCTTTTGCTTCCTGGGTTGAATATGTACTCTTCCAGAGAGATTTTTGTTTACTTAAGCCAGATACCCCAGGGTATTACTAGTCTGAAAATGCTTTAAAGTGATTCATTTGCTTGGGAGTTCACAGACCAATTAAATAGTGTGAATTAAAACCTGAAACCCATGTGAGGGCAGACATTTTTGTTAATAGTTCTAGGAATTTATTTTTTATTTTTGGTCTACTCAGGCTGAGAGAGACAAACTAAAACACTGTAAGATATGCCAGAATGTGCTCCACAATCCCAGGAAATTGGCACTGATAGAAACCACAGAGATTACTCACATTTCTTCACTTATACACTGCCTTTCAGGCCTGAAGGACTTATTTTCCCAGTTACTGGGAGTTCTACCCGCTGACAGCTGAAGCCTGGGGATTTTCCTTAGCTAAAGGTCAGGCCTGTTTCTTAGGAGCAGCCTGCATTCAATGGTACAAAAGCTGGGCTCCCTGGACCCCACCTGAGGACAACTCTGAAGTACTGTCCAGCTTCAGAACTCCCTGTGGGGCTGGACAAGGCCTTGCCATGGGTATGTGGCAGTTCTGCTTCTCCTGCCCAATCCTGCTCCCATTCTTCCCCACACAGGCATCAATCCTAAGAGCACCACTAGTAAACTGTCCTGCATGCTAAGCTCTGCCTCATAGTCTTATTTCCAGGGAGAAGAACCTGTGACAACAGGCATGCCCTCTTCCCCTGACCGTCTCATCCATTTGGGCATTTAGGGGTCTGGATTAATGCAGGTAGCTCTAGTTACACTTCCCACCTTCTGCAAACACAAATCCTCATTTTCTGTCCTTGCTTGGCTTTTCGTTTCTTATTTGCCCCTGATAATTTTTCTGAGTGTCTTACAAATTCAGCTTTGCATGAAAGGAATGTTTACTATATTTGATTCAGTATTTCTCAGTGCTGTGTAGCAACAGGGTTTTTCAGTTATATAGATCACTGCAATGCCAGAACAGATGATTGGCATGAGGACTTCGGATGGGACTGCTTGATAGCATTGTTACCATTATTGGCATGAGTGATCACTGTTGTTCTTTCTATGAAAGTAGAAATTTGTGAATTTGCCCTTTCCATATTTTGTGGATGTTTTGTGTTTTTGCATCTATTTATTGCCTCTTTGTGGGTGATTTTTGGATACACTGACTTCTCAGTTAACAAAGCTCTCTTATCCCCAGAGAATGGAGGATGTGGACGAATGAAGTGTGCTATGCTGACTGTGCTGCCTTTCCCAGGTCCCTGGGGATAGAATATTTGCTCCCTCACTCCAGTTAGTCTCAGGGTAGCCAACCTACTTCATCTTTTCCAAAGCAGAGAGAAAAAAACATGAATATTATTCTAAGGAATGAATATTAGTACCCCCTCAAAAAGATAACACACACTTTAAAAAATCAATTTCATTGGGGTATAATTTGCATATAATAAAAGGCACCCATTTTAAATGTACCTTCTGGTGTGCTTGGACAAATTTATACAAACGTAGCCACCCCAGCATCAAGCTATAGAACATTTTCATCATTCTCAAAATGTTCCCTGTGCTCTTTCTTGTTACTACCCCTGATGCCCCTGGCCACAGGCAACCACAGATGTATTTCCTTTCAGCATAGGTTACATTTATCTTTCTTATCCATTCTGTAAATGAAATCATACGAATGTGTGCATTTGAGTCTGCCTTCCCTCACTCAGCATAATGTTTTGGAGATCCATTGATTCTGTTGTGTGTATCAGCAGTTCATTCCTCTTTACTGCTAAGTATTTTTCAATTATATGGATGCACCATAATTTGTTGATCCATTAGTCAGTTGATGGACATTAGGGTGGTTCCTAATTTGGGCTATTATGAATAAAGCTGCTTATAAACATTTAAAGACACAGGACTTCTAATTTTCTTATAAACTCTCCTGTCCTCTGTCCCAAAAGATTTGGGATTCCAAAGCCCTTAACCTCTTAGATATCATAAGGTATTTATGAGATGAGATAAATTGAGCCCCACTATGCCACTGTGTTTTCATTTTATTCTGGGAATAAATATATAAGTCAAATGGGAAAAAACAGTAACAAAGACATGAATTCTTTAGAAGATTTGTACAAATCTTATTTTGCTTATTGTCCATATTATTTTTGGCTAATTCTTCCATGTTTCTACATACTTGATTATGTATGTCTATCTGTGGTTGGTGCCAAATGTTTTAAACCCTATTTTCTTCCTTATTTCCCTTCCTATTTATCATTGATTTTAGCCCTTCTAACAAATATATAATAAAATATTTCTTGCTCTTGGAAATCCTCTTCTTTCTGTTATATCCATGACTCTTTATCAACTGTGCTTAGATAAGGGCTGGACACTCAGGTTTCCTTACTGAGAAATGGATGAAGGCCAGGTCTAGTGGGAGAACAGAGAACAGGATGTAAGAGAAAGAAAGGAAGAAGGCAGGGAACTGTGAGCAGGAAAAATAGAGCACTAATTAGAGGAGACATGAAAACCTGAGGGCAGTAAGCATTGGGAAAATATTATTCAGAGATGTTCGCAAGTGAAGAAGAAGCACAAAACTAACTCCGAAGTTCATTTTCTTTTCAAATTTATCTTTATAATGTAGTGATTGCAATCCATCACCAAATTATACTTCATAAATGTAACTATGTTTTTATGTAGCTTTTAAAAATGTATGAAACTCTCTGTTTCTATTTATACTTCCTCATGGTCCATTTCTCCTCAACACTCTCAAGTGGGGCTTCCCCCATAGTGGAATGCACTGGAATGCTCTGACCATGTCCATCAGCAGCCTTCTAACTGCTCGATATGAGCTGCTCTTTAAATTCTTCCCTTTCTTATTATCTTTGCAGCATGATGACCTTGACCACACTTTCTTCTTTTTTAAAAAAATAATTACTTTCTTGTTTTTTTTTTTTTTTTTAAGTTCCAGGGCACGTGTGCCGGATGTGCGGATGTGCAGGTTTCTTACACAGGTAAAAGTGTACCATGGTGGTTTGCTGTACCTATCAACCCATCACCTAGATATTAAGCCCAGCATGCATTAGCTCTTTTCCCTAATGTTCCCCCCCACTGAAAAGCTCAACATCACTGATCATTAGAGAAATGCAAATCAAAACCACAATGAGATACCATCTCATGCCAGTCAGAATTGCGATTATTAAAAAGTCAAGAGACAACAGATGCTGCTGAGGTTGCAGAGAAATAGGAATGCTTTTACCCTGTTGGTGGGAATTTAAATTAGTTCAACCATTGTGGAAGACAGTGTAGCAATTCCTCAAAGTTTTAGAACCAGAAATACCATTTGACCCAGCCATCCCATTTCTGGGTATATAGCCAAAGGAATGTAAATCATTCTGTTATAAAGATACACATACGCATATGTTCATTACAGCACTATTCACAATAGCACACTCTCTTCTTAAAAGCTTCTTCTTCCTTTATTTCCAAATCATTTTAATTGCCCTCTATGGTAGGCTAAAATATGGCCTGCAAAGATATTCATGTCCTAATTCTTCAAGAGGAGGGGTATATCTTTGCAGGTGTGATTAATTTAATGGTCCTAAGATGGAGAGTGTTTCCTGGATTTTCCTGGTGGGCCCTAAATGCATTCACAAGTGTCTTTAAGAGAGCTAAAGAGAGACAGGCAGAGAGGGATTTGACAACACACCCATAGGATAGGTCATGCAAAGACAGAGCAGAGAGAGCTTTGAAGATGCTGGTCTTGAAGAGAAGAGTGATGCAGCCACCACCCAAGCCAGCAGCCACCAGGAACTGAAGGAGGCATGAGGATTCTCCCCTAGAGCCTCCAGACAGAATATGACCCTGCTGACACCTTTATTGCAGTCCAGTGATACTGACTTTGGGCTTCTGGCCTTCAGGACTCTGAGAGAATAAGCTTCTGTTGTGTTAAGACCGCCGGTTTGTGGTCCTTTGTTATAGCAGTCACAATAAACTCATGCACATTCTCTGACAGTTTCCTCTCCATTTTTCACTTTTCTTTCTCTCTTTGTTTTTGTTTTTTGAGGGTACCCAAATAGCAACAAGAATTTAAGTTCCTCGTCTCATCTGAATTCTCTTTTTCTACACTGTCTTATTGAGTGTCTATGTCTCATCCTCTGAATCTTCTGAGTTGCTAAGTCAGTATCTCTGGTCACAGCATTCCAATGACCATTTAGTCAACATGAGGATTTTCCACATTCTAAACCCTCTGCTCACTGTTTCCATTGACTTAATGGGATGTGAGGGAGTGTTACTACATATCGCATAGAAGATTTCTGTGGTTAAATTACCTTGGGAATTTCTGGGTTAAACAAAGTGAAAGAACGTTAGTCTTTTACTATAGGGCTTCTCCTTTACTGGTTATAGACTACTCCTTGGGACATGGCTCCTGTAGTAGTTATTTCATTGTAGATCAAACCTAATTCATTCCTAAAAGCTTCTTTATGCATGGGCTTTGCCTACAGAAGGTCTGTCCTTCCCAGTCGTACCTCCCTGTTCCCTGTTCTCTGCTGGAACCACTCCTCTTCCACCCTGCTGTCACACACACTCCGGGCCAACAGTGGGCTCCTGCAGGGCACAGAGTTCTTCCCTTTCCAGTTCTGTACTTCTGTTAGTCCACAGTCCAGTTTGTGAGGCTACTGGGAGTTGAAATAAGACATATACAAATGTCTTTCTTTTTTCCTTTTCTAGTATACAGGTTACAGTCGAGCCCAGAGCAGGAACAGAGGGATCTAAATTTGAAAGCAATAATGGCAGGCTTACATATGTCAATTCTCTACAAGAATACTAAGTCACTGTTTCATTAAAAAGAGACCAACAGGTGGGCGTAGTGGCTCAAACCTGTAATCCTACCATTTTGCAAGGCCAAGGCAGGCACCTGTAATTCTAGCTACCTGGGAGGCTGAGGCAGGAGAATTGCTTGAACCTGGGAAGTGGAGGTTGCAGCGAGCTGAGATTGCACCATTGCACTCCAGCCTAGGCAACAAGAGCAAAACTCCATCTCAAAAAAAAAAAAAAAAGGAAAAAACAGAGACCAACAACTTCTTAATGTGATTAGCGAAGGTAACACCAGGAAAGATAACGAAAGATAGATGTGAGGAGGTACTAAGAAATAAAACTCATCCACGTAGAGGTGCCATCTGCCTCTCACTGGACTTCCTGGGCCTCCTAGCCATTTGCTGATGCCCACTAATGCCTGTGAGTCTTTCCATAGGACTCATAATCCTCTTCCTCTGAGCAAACTTACCACATGCAAGCCCAGTGCCTTCCAACCTGAGTCTGCTTTTGCGGGTCCCTGGTCTTCTTGGCTACGGCAGACCTTGAGAATTTCAACCCCAGGGTCCCTATACCTTTCAATACTCTGATCATAATTGACTCTTGAGCTATTTTCAGTATTTCAAAAAGCTTAGTGGGAATCTGCAGTGAGGCTGGGATGACTAAATGCAAAGTCATCGTTTTGGGGGGAGAAAATCATTTTACATCAGTTGTGTTAACATAAGTTAGTTTGTAATGATTAAAAGCTCTGATTGGCAATTCTGGATGTTGTCAGTGAACCCAAATGATGAAACAAATTAATCAGTACGCAATAGATGTTTTGTGATTAGTAGACAAAAATTTGTGAAGATGTGCATCCTACTGAGAAAAGTAGTAAAGGTGGCCCTCGGTGGTGAAAAAAATTAGGGATTACTGCTGTAAATCTTTCTGGAGCTGTCTTTATACAAATTCTTTCTCAACCTAATTACTCACTTTCCGGTTTACTTATTTTTTTAATCCTTTCATAAATATTATTCTGCCGTCTACTTTCCTCCCTCTCTCTCCTTTCTTACCATACAGTGTGTCCCAGTGAATGATTTACAGCATTGTTCTGTAGTCCTTCTTAAAAGTGATGCCATAAAGAGCATGGTTCTTAAGTTACAAAAGTGATTCAGCTTCCACAGACATCATGGGGGAAATAGTGCACCTTGCAACAGCACAGCTCACCTCTTCCCAGTCTTCTAAGACCAGCAACCCTGCCACTGTCCCCCACATTCAACTATGAGCTCTCCCTTACTTGATGGATATGGCCAAAGACAGAAATCTTTCTCCTTTTAGTTCTTTCAGGTCCCTGGTGGTACTGGTACCATTCTGAGAACATGGCAACATATTCAAGCATTTCTTGAACTGATTTAAAATGGTCTGTATAGAAATTAACATGATGTTAAGTAAGTCTGGTCATTAATAAATGATGCAGATATGGCTTGATATCTGCACACTCACTCACGAAAGCCTTGGCATTTCAACCCTTGGTGGGTTGAAAAGGCAGCAGAGGACAAATGCCTCTGTTCTGGTATAAATGTTGGGATAAGGCAAGTGTCTTGATCTGTTGTGTGTTGCTATAAAGGAACACCTGAGGCTGTGTAATTTATAAAGAAAAGAGGTTTATTTGGCTCATGGTTCTGCAGGATGCACAAGACATACGACACTAGCATCTGCTTCTGATGAGGACCTCAGGCTGCTTCCACTCGTGGCAGGAGTGGCAGTGAACAGGAGCTGGCATGTGCAGAGAGGACATGGTAAGAGAGGAGGCAAGAGGGAATCAGAGGTGTCAGGCTGTTTTTAACAACCAGCTCCCATGGGAACTAAGAGTTAGAACTCAGCCATTACCACAAGGATGATGGCACCAAGCCATTCATGAGGGATCCACCCCCCATGACCCAAACACCTCCCATGAGGCCCATCTCCAACACTGGTGATCAGACTTCATCATGAGGTTTGGAGGGACAATATCCACACTATGGCAGCAAGAAGCAGCATGAATATGAGGGGGTTTGAAGTCAGTTATTTCAGTAGTTAAAGTTGCAGGATTGGTGGGGTGGTGAGTTAGTTACATTTACAGTAGGTCAGTATAGGTGTAGGTTTGAGGAAACTGAACTGCAAGTTCAGCTCACAACAGGAGTAACTGTAGTACGTAGCTTCGTGGGATCAGACGGTTCATTTATTTTCTGTGTTGCACAAATAACATTGCAATATGTTAATGAAAATTGAAATGAAAGTAAAACTTTGCCCGTGACTCACCATCGCAATAAATGGCCATTTTTGTGTTTTTCATGTTCTATGTTCTCTTACTAAATAAATACATTTTATGTAGTTATAGCTGTAATGTAGGCACAGTTCCATACTCTGTTTTCCATTTAACATTTTATTTCATAATCATTTTTTCTATGTCATTACTGCAGCTTCAGGCTTTGCAGCCCAGAGCGTGTGCTCCACCTAGTTTTTCCATTTCTCTTGAGGAAGCATCAGATAGAGCTGGGTGAGGTCTGTCCTTTGGGGTCAGTGGGGGCTTCCCACTGCCCCTCTGGCCGAGTGCGTGGTGGGAGCTTAAAGTATCATAGGGGCTGAGAGTTGTGGCAAAAAGACCCTTGAAGTTGCATGGAAAGATCAACTTTAAAATTATTTTTCCCAGCATAGATCCTGTTGGAGTTTGCTGGGATTATAACACCAATGAGGCTGATGGACAAATGGAGAAGAGGGAACTCAGAACTTGGAGCTACTTTGTTAATCAGCAGACCTGGGCCTTGGGAGGATAGTCCTCACCATAGGGCCGAGAATAAAGCTTGAGTTGCCAGGTGTTCTGTGCAGCCCAGGACGGGAGCCCATATTGAGGTTCAAGCTAACTCAGGCCAATAGAAGAGTCCAGAACACCTGGCACATGTCTAGGGCTGACAGGATCCCTGGAGGCCTGGGAACCACTCTCATTTTTGCTTATTTATCCTAGTTTCAGTCTACACTGCATAGCCCATTCAATTTATTTATTCTGGATTCTTACTCTGCCTCCTTCCATAAAAGATTTGAGACGTCTTGACACTGCAGAGTCAGTGATTCCAGCTCGGGGTCTTAGAATTTGTGCCCCTTTTATTTAGACCTACATAGTATGGAGTGCATAGAAAGAAGAATAGGAACTGGGGAAAGACAAACAAAGCTTAAGGAGGGTTGTAAAATACACAGAAGTAAGCAGGTGATCTTGGCTAGTATTTATTTCTTAGGCAGGACACACCGGGAATAAAAAAATACACAGCCTACTATTCCTCTGAGGAAATGATGAATGAAGTAAATGTTATTAGAGGCCCAGGAGGATGCTTTTCCTTATTTGTTAATGTACCTCGTGCTGAAAATATGCCGAGGGCTGTCAGCGCTGGGCGGCAGAATTCTAAGAAGCCTTTCCTGCCGACTCTTCTGTTTCGTGGAGGCAGTCTAACTTCCACCTCACAGAGAGCCACCAGAAGGAAAGCCTACGTTCCCTTCTCTCTTCCCATGTCTTTTTATTCCTCTCCTTCCTGGCCAGCATTTGACAGTGGAATGTCTTCCCAGGATGTACACATTTTCCCCAATAATCTTGAACACTTCCCATTTACCTCTAGAGCATCTTTCTTGTCCTGATTAAGGAGGTATCCTTCTCTTGCTCTCTCTCAGTTGAGGTTATTTTGTAGGAAAAAATGATTGCAGCCAGGGCTTGAAAGTGGCAGGGAATAAGTTTGAGTGTCCCCTATCTTTCCTCATGACAGTGCTGGAGCATTAGCACAAAGCCTGTCTGTCATCATGGGAAATAATCCCACCCAAACACACTGGGAAGACGTGAGGGTGTCTCCTTGGTCTTATTAGCCTAGCAGAAGGACAGAAAGATGAAGGGATGTGGGGTTGCGGGGAATGAGAAGCGCTGAACACCTGGAATTTGTTCCCTTGGGCCGACAGGTTGCAGCTTGCTTGCTGTTCTCCCTCTGTCTGAGAACACTTCGTATTTAACACTCTCTAATTCTGCTTGCACATCCTCTACTTCCTTCCTTCTTTTCATCTCTCAAGGTTTGTGCCCAAATATGGCTCTATTTCAGCTCTTATTTTCCACTTCACTTCAGATTCTCAATACTGTGGGTTGGGCAGAAAAGGCAATTTGCCAAGTCTAGGGCAGGACTTGTGTCTAAGGGAATAGATGAGCACCTTGCTGCTGCTGCTGTGTGTGTGTGTGTGTGTGTGTGTGTGTGTGTTTGTGTGTGAAAGAGAAAGAGAGAGAGAGAGAGAGAGAAAAGGGAGAGAGAGAGATCCTCCAGGAAGTACTTTGGAAACTGCTTCTTCAAAAATGGCAATAATGATTCCACCATATAGACATATTCTAGAAAACTTAGGGTCTAAGGGTCACAATATTTATCAGGGCATTCATGTATTTGTCTGCATTAATTCAACCAATATTTAGTAATGAAAACTCTTAAGTATGCAGTGTACTTGATGATCAATTCTCTTCTCTTGGATTTGCTCTGGTTCTGCCCAGGACTTAATATAGTGCTACACTCATGTGGTTTTTTTTCTTTGGTTCTGTTTATATGCTGGATTACATTTATTGATTTGCATATATTGAACCAGCCTTGCATCCCAGGGATGAAGCCCACTTGATCGGGATGAAGCCCACTTGATCATGGTGGATAAGCTTTTTGATGTGCTGCTGGATTCAGTTTGCCAGTATTTTATTGAGGATTTTTGCATCAATGTTCATCAAGGATATTGGTCTAAAATTCTCTATTTTGGTTGTGTCTCTGCCCGGCTTTGGTATCAGGATGATGCTGGCCTCATAAAATGAGTTAGGGAGGTTTCCCTCTTTTTCTATTGATTGGAATAGTTTCAGAAGCAGAAAAGGCCTTTGACAAAATTCAACAACCCTTCATGCTAAAAACTCTCAATAAATTAGGTATTGATGGGACGTATCTCAAAATAATTAGAGCTATCTATGACAAACCCACAGCCAATATCATACTGAATGGGCAAAAACTGGAAGCATTCCCTTTGAAAACTGGCACAAGACAGGGATGCCCTCTCTCACCACTCCTATTCAACATAGTGTTGGAAGTTCTGGCCAGGGCAATTAGGTAGGAGAAGGAAATAAAGGGTATTCAATTAGGAAAAGAGGAAGTCAAATTGTCCCTGTTTGCAGACGACATGATTGTTTATCTAGAAAACCCCATCGTCTCAGCCCATAATCTCCTTAAGCTGATAAGCAACTTCAGCAAAGTCTCAGGATACAAAATCAATGTACAAAAATCACAAGCATTCTTATACACCAACAACAGACAAACAGAGAGCCAAATCATGAGTGAACTCCCATTCACAATTGCTTCAAAGAGAATAAAATACCTAGGAATCCAACTTACAAGGGATGTGAAGGACCTCTTCAAGGAGAACTACAAACCACTGCTCAATGAAATAAAAGAGGATACAAACAAATGGAAGGACATTCCATGCTCAAGGGTAGGAAGAATCAATATCGTGAAAACAGCCATACTGCCCAAGGTAATTTACAGATTCAATGCCATCCCCATCAAGCTACCAATGACTTTCTTCACAGAATTGGAAAAAACTACTTTAAAGTTCATATGGAACCAAAAAAGAGCCCGCATTGCCAAGTCAATCCTAAGCCAAAAGAACAAAGCTGGAGGCATCACGCTACCTGACTTCAAACTATACTACAAGGCTACAGTAACCAAAACAGCATGGTACTGGTACCAAAACAGAGATATAGATCAATGGAACAGAACAGCGCCCTCAGAAATAATGCCGCATATCTACAACTATCTGATCTTTGACAAACCTGAGAAAAACAAGCAATGGGGAAAGGATTCGCTATTTAATAAATGGTGCTGGGAAAACTGGCTAGCCATATGTAGAAAGCTGAAACTGGATCCCTTCCTTATACCTTATACAACAATTAATTCAAGATGGATTAAAGACTTAAACGTTAGACCTAAAACCATAAAAACCCTAGAAGAAAACCTAGGCATTACCATTCAGGACATAGGCATGGGCAAGGACTTCATGTCTAAAACACAAAAAGCAATGGCAACAAAAGCCAAAATTGACAAATGGGATCTAATTAAACTAAAGAGCTTCTGCACAGCAAAAGAAACTACCATCAGAGTGAACAGGCAACCTACAAAGTGGGAGAAAATTTTCGCAACCTACTCATCTGACAAAGGGCTAATATCCAGAATCTACAATGAACTCAAACAAATTTACAAGAAAAAAACAAACAACCCCATCAAAAAGTGGGCAAAGGACATGAACAGACACTTCTCAAAAGAAGACATTTATGCAGCCAAAAAACACATGAAAAAATGCTCACCATCACTGGCCATCAGAGAAATGCAAATCAAAACCAAAATGAGATACCATCTCACACCAGTTAGAATGGCAATCATTAAAAAGTCAGGAAACAACAGGTGCTGGAGAGGATGTGGAGAAATAGGAACACTTTTACACTGTTGGTGGGACTGTAAACTAGTTCAACCCTTGTGGAAATCAGTGTGGCAATTCCTCAGGGATCTAGAAGTAGAAATACCATTTGACCCAGCCATCCCATTACTGGGTATATACCCAAAGGACTATAAATCATGCTGCTATAAAGACACATGCACATGTATGTTTACTGCGGCACTATTCACAATAGCAAAGACTTGGAACCAACCCAAATGTCCAACAATGATAGACTGGATTAAGAAAATGTGGCACATATACACCATGGAATACTATGCAGCCATAAAAAATGATGAGCTCCTGTCCTTTGTAGGGACATGGATGAAATTGGAAATCATCATTCTCAGTAAACTATCGCAAGAACAAAAAACCAAACACCGCATATTCTCACTCATAGGTGGGAATTGAACAATGAGAACACATGGACACAGGAAGGGGAACATCACACTCTGGGGACTGTTGTGGGGTTGGGGGAGGGGGGAGGGATAGCTTTAGGAGATATACCTAATGCTAAATGACGAGTTAATGGGTGCAGCACACCAGCATGGCACATGTATTCATATGTAACTAACCTGCACATTGTGCACATGTACCCTAAAACTTAAAGTATAATAATAATAAAATAAAATAATATATATATAGTGCTACACTCATAGTGGATGGTCATTAAGCGATAGATAGTTGTTCAACCATCCAATCCTTTCTTTGCAGCCCAAGAAATAGCTAGGCACTGTCTTCATGTCTTGAAGCAGGATTCTCATAAAGGATGCTTCAGTCTCACATGGCATGGAAAATTCTAACTAGTTATGTATAAACACTAATTTTGGGTGTTTTGAATCCTGAATCTGTCACATTTTTGTGTGTGACCCTCCCGCCAACCTTGGACAAATTACTTGGCACCTCTGAGCCTCCATTTTTGCACCTATAATAACTCAATTCCTGCTGTGGTTATGATTATGCTGCTATTTCTGGTAACTACTCCACCTTCTTTTTCATTTCAGATCACCAACCACTTCTCCACATGATCCCTTTGCTGTGTCTAGAGTTAGGTATTTCTCATCCTTAGCCATTGGCTGGTAAAGTACCAGACAAATGTTATTCAGTAAATACTTGTTCATGAGTCAACTTTTGAGTCTAATTTTCCAAAAGTTTGTGCATGTGAAGTTCCTCCCCAGTTCCTCCCACACATCCCAGTGGTTTCAGTGGCTGGTAATAGAACAAGTGGAAGGTGCATTAAAGCATTAGCAAGAGATTGGCTTTGTGTGGTGTGACTTGAAAGCAAATGCCGAGGAGCATATTTTTTAATATCATAGGAAATTGCTGGCTAGTTTTTATAATTAAAATTCTATTCACGTTAAGTGTTTGTAGACTTAATCAAATGCTTTTAGAAAGTAAATCATTTTAGTTTAAAATAGTTTTCCCTAGTATAAAGTTTTTTTGAAATAAAAACAAAGAAATACATTATTATGGAGAATGTGGAATATTTGAAAAATCAAAAGGTATCGTTCTGGTTAGTGTACTTCTTTAGGTGTTATTTTGATATTTCCATCAGTAATATATGTTGTCTTTGGGTCTAACTTACAGGAAAATGCTGTGTGTATTTTCACAAGCAGCCAATTGTTTCACCCTAATTTCTGTACCTGAATTTGAAAAAAATTCACTAGTTTAAGTAATTGTATTCCGATGGTCTTTTTACTACAGATGTCCTGTGAAGTGAGTAGGTCTCCTTATACATGTGTAGTTTCTCTGTTTTTCTATTTTCTAAAAACAAACAAACAAGCAAAACACAGCTCAACCCTGTTATTGGAAAGTCAGAGGGTCAGACACTCAATCTTAAATTAATTAAAAAATATTTGGCTGGTAGGAAAACAGTGTTCCTGAACATGGTCCTTTCTGAGAGGTCCTGTGAAGCCCCACAAGTGCCTAAGCAGGGTAAGAATAAGATGAGAATACAGGGGAAAGGCCGCACTGGCTAGCTTTCAACTCTTTCCCCCTTCTGTTCAAGACTAGTTATTCATCGATGAGTCTTCTACCAGTTGTTAACTTTGACATCATTGCCCTATTTTTAGGGTTAGAGTTTACAGAGATAGTATTTCATAATAGCCATACTCATGGTAAGTCATTCAAGGTATAGCTAAGGTGCAGCAATTATCTCTATAATAATTATTCACTCCAGTTCTTTGGAGTCCATTGTATTAGTCTGTTCTCACACTGCTAATAAAGACATACCTGAGATTGGGTAACTTATAAAGGAAAGAAGTTTAAAGGACTCACAGTTCCACATGGCTGAAGAGGCCTTGCAACCATGGCAGAAGGTGAATGAGGAGCAAATTCATGTCTTACATGGTGGCAGGCAACAGAGAGCATGTGCAGGGAAACTCCTCTTTATAAAACCATCAGATCTCATGAGACATATTCACTATCATGAGAACAGCATGGGAAACATCCACCCCCATGATTTGGTCACCTCCCTCCAGGTCCCTTCTACAACACATGGGGATTACTACAATTCAAGATGAGATTGGGGTGGGGACACAGAGCTAAACCATATCACCATGTATAGATTGTTGAACTTATTACGTGTTAACAACTCTCTCCAGAACAGCATATCCAAGCTTTTTTGGTAGTTGTTCTTCTTACCTGGGTCATCTTTTTTAGGCTAATTCTGAATTCTGCTGTGTCTTGTGTAAAATAACTTGGCTAAAACTAAACTTGGTCCTTCAAATCAAGGGGGACTGTGTTTTGCTACATGCAATGGCATCTGCCTAACATCTCTTACTCACTTTAAGGGATTTGGGGAAGATTATTGAAAATGATTTCCAGTGGGGCATCACTTTCCCTTAGCTAAGCTGAATTTCTTTCCTTGGCTATCTTTGTGACTTATTTCTTCCCTGCTCACAATTTCTCTGAGCCTTGACAGGCTGCGTAATTATTTTTTATCAGCACATTTTACACTTCCAGGTTGTTAATAAATATATTGAAGAAAATTAGCACTAGAGGATTAACTATAATCAGATTCTTAAGGCAGTAACTATTAACTTTGTCTGAAGCTGAGAAATGACCATTGATTTCTGCTTCTTAGTTTCTATCTCTTAACCAGTTCTAAAAATCCATACTGGGCTTTTCAATTTGGCCTTACGTAGTCACCAAGTTTCCCTCAAAAAAGTCACTAAAATCATTTGGAAGCCCACATTTATTTTGTGCACTCATTTTTCCTTTATCTATCTTTTCTTAAATCCCATTTTAGAAAATTCTCTAAGTTAAACAGTCACAATCTTCCTAATTACATTATTATAGGAAACTTATTTGTGGCAGGTATGTCATAGTATCATAGTTAGTATCCCCACATTCCTAGACTCCTTACCCATTGCAGAAGAAGTTGAAGCCAGGAAAGTCCCATCTTGTAACATGCTTCCAGAGGGGGTAAGTTTGTGTACTCCTAAACCCTGAGCTAAGGAAGCAGAAAAATTTATTAATAGACATCACACTTTCCCCAGAGATACTTGGAGATCAACGCAGCCTAGGGCATTTGGAAAGTTGGATTTACTTAACCTTAAAAAACGTGTCTGAGAAATCATGTCTATATAATTTTAGATTTGATCAGACCTGTATTTCTTTCATCTTTGTCACTTTTAAGCTAAAGACACACACGAGCTCCTGGGTTTAGAAAAAGAAGTGTTTAGGCTGGAAACAATCTTGGCATGGCTTTATAACAAGTAATATCTCTTTCTAGGCATCAAAGTGATTTGAATAAGAGCCAAAATACATTTCCCATGACAGATCAACCCAGGTACACATACAAATGTGTGGTTTGCCAAGCCTGGTGGACAGCAGGACCAGGAAAATGGGTTGGGTGAAATAAGAAGCCCTTTAAGCCTTCTATCAAAGCTTTCCCTTGCACCGTGCTTCTTCATGGTTTCAGAAAGAATTAGAGAACAGGAGCTTCCTATTACCTTTTATTTTGGGACTTGCCAAGAAAACCTGCCCACTCTGATTTCCATTTTTCTCTAACCAGTGGAGCCCCAACGACATTGCTGGTAAGACCAGTTCTCCTCTCTCTTGTCAGCTTTGTGTGGTGGCTCTGAATTCTTATTCTGGTTTCACTACAGAACATTAATGAGTTGATATGTGTCTCTCTTCTCAGAGCCTACAGGTTTAGCAGCAGGCTGTGACTGGACTGTTTAATATTCTAGTCTCTAGTGGATGGGGCAGCAGTAACAGCCAATGCTGTGCTCTCATCCATCCACCCATCTTTATTCCTCCTGATCTATTAAAGCTTCCTTATAAAATTGCTAAGTATGTGCTCACGGCTTTCTCTGAGGCAAGTGCATGAGAATAATTACTTTTATTTTAATAACAAAAGAAAGTAGGGTTAGGAAAAGTGAGAGATTTATTCCACAAATCACTGCAGACAAATAGTGAAGAGTACCACCATGCCTTCTAAGTTGAGTCCCAGGAATCTATTGCATGGGTCTTCCTGGGTTTTCTTCGAAGGGTGTTTGTTGTGAGTGTGCTGCTATTCCTTGACAGTTCTAGAATTGGAACAATCCAAAATTCATGCCAGAATAATAAAGTTTAAGAGAAAATTACTAGACAAATAATGGAGATGGTCAGTAAAATCTCTACAAGTCTCAATTCTGCAAACTAGATGGTGAGGCCTTAGTACCACTTTATTTCTTTGCTTTTGAGTGCAATTTCCAATGAAAGGATTTTTTTGGAGGTCCTTATCTGAGCCTTACCATTCTTCATTCCCTTATGACTATCACAGCCTTCTGCATGTTCATTTTTATAATCACATATGTTCTTAGGGACTCGGGGATACATATTAGAGATTAATAACTGTGGCTGCCTTTGCTTCAAAATCCCTAAACATACAGGTCACCTCCTCTCTCTCTTTCTCTCTCTCTCTTTTTCTCTTCCCCCTCCTCCTCCTTTATCTCTCTCTCTAAATATGCAACGAAATGGACATCAATCTAATATATACAGTTAATAAATACTTCTAACTAATTCAAATTGTGACCAATCCAGCAAATCATCACCTATCTTTTATGATAGTCTTGTTAGATAAGGTTAGGAGTCTGATAAATAGAGATTATTTTTGGCATATAATAGACAATAAATATTTGCTAACTGAACACAAAGATATTCATTTTAGATTGCTTAATAGCTATATATAGAGTTTTGACCTCCTTTTTTATGTTTATTCTCTGTACTCCTTCATTCCTAGTGCATGCCAAGCAGACTGAGTGGATCAGGGGACTGTGGGAAGGGTGCTCTTTGGATTTGGCTACTGGTGGTAAATAGCTACCATTGTGAGCCCTGTTTTGAGAAATTTTCATTGTCTCCTTGGCTCAACAACCTGCAAAGTCTACATTATTATTTGCATTTTAAAGATGAGGAAGTATGGCCAGAAACTGCTTAGGAAATTACAGAAAGAAGTCACAGGAATGCCATGCAAGCGTCCACTGATGTCATTCCAGTTTCTGTGCTCTTCCTACCTCACTGCACCCTCTCCATGTGTCACATTCCAACATCTCAGGTGTGTCAGTGGACTTTTTTGAGCCTGTTGATGGTCATGGTAGAAAAGCAGGGAAGTGATGGAGAAGATGGAATAGTTTCTTCCTGCTGTGCCCTGATTCTATGGTCTTTCCCATGATGTAGGGAGTTTGATAACAGCAGACACATCATGGGTCCTGTGCCATAATCTACATGAGATGCCCAGTCCCATCATCATATGGATTTATTTAATTTTTGTGACTATTCTTCATAGAGATATGCTAGAGCACCTTATTTTGAATGATGGCCCGAGGAGATATGTAAGGGATGATACATATCTAGTTTTAATCCTTCTTCTACCTGTTTATCATATGATTCTTTGGCTCATGCATTTGCATGCAGTTTTGTACATTTACATTTAGAAAGTTTTTGTTTGATGGTATTTCCTTCTCTGTGGTTATAGCAAGATCTGTCACGTCATGTCTTTCTGAGCCATTGGTGATTTATTGTATCTGTGCTGTTTGGAATTTTCTAAAAATATTCAGACAAGCTTGCCAAGGTTGCAATGCTATTTCTGCCTCTTATTTATTTGATTTTATTTTTTTGCTGTCACTCTTTTTCTCAAGAGAGGGACACAGAGTTGAGTGTGTGACAGGATGAGGGTGGGGGAGGTACACTTAGTCTCCGTAAAGTTTTAGTTCATGAGGAAGGAGAATTGCTTTAATTAATGTGTCTCCTAGGAAATCTGATATGGAGTGGGACAATCTCATCACAATCAGAACTGTCCCCTACCTAATTAGTGAAATATTAAACCAAAATTGTTTAAGTCAACCAATCTCATGTTCATAATCAAATGTGTACCCCGAATTTGCATGTGTTCTGACCCAGCCTTTCTACTCTTAATTTATCCTGTGGTCTGGGGGTGAAAATTACTTCAAAAAGAATTGCCCTCCCCAAGAATTATGTAAGTAGGCCTCGTGCTACATTAGTTAGCTGAGCAGATTTGTGCTATTTTGGATTTTACCTTTTCCACAACATCAGTCCAAGATGTTTTCATCAAAATTATTTTGTTTGTTTTCTTAGTTTGGTTCGTGAAGCAAAAACTAAGGTCTTATAAATTTAGTAAATACTGTTGAACATAAAAGTCTTACATACAAAGATGCAGATAATTCTTGTTCTTAATTTTTTTGCTCTTTGACATAATTTACTAAATAACTCCCATTCAAAAGAGATTTATAGTTTCAAGTAGAGTCTTGGCATAATTTTTAAATGTCTACACATGGAATTGTTTTGGTTAGAAAGGTAGACATCTCATGACGGTAAAGTCCTATGAGATTTTGAAGTTATGTTTTTTTTCCAGGCCATAGGGCTGTTCAGTTAAAGTATGTCAAATTGCATTTTACATTTCTTCTTCTGGCTTTAGAAGCAAAAAAAAAGTAATATTGAAACAAAAATTGGGAATTTTATGTAATAATTTATGAAGTAGATAAACAGAGATCCAAACATCTTCAACAAAATACCAAATTCAACATCACATTAAAAATATAATACACTATGATCAAGGGGGATTTATTCCTGGATGTAGATATGTTAGACCACAAATAAGTCTTAAAAAGTTTGAGAAGATGGAAATCATATTAAGAATCTTTGCTGATCTCAATGATATGAAACTAAAAATCAATGGGAGAATAGAAAAATTTACAAATATGTAGACATTAAACAACATATTCCTGAACAATCAATGGGTTATAGAAAAAGTCAAAAGGAAAATAAAGATATATTTTGAGACAAATAAAAATGGAAACACAATACAGAAAACTTATGGGATGCAGCCAAAGCAGTTCTAAGATGGAAGTTTAAAACAATAAATGTCTACATTAAGGAAAAAGAAAGATCTCAAATAGACAACTAGCTTTACACCTCAAGTAACTAGGAAAAGCTAAGCCCAAAGCTAGCAGAAGGAAGGAAATAATAAAGATTAGAGCAAAAATAAATAAATAAATAAATACAAATTACAAATACGATAGAAAAGATCAGCAAGGCTGGCCATAGTGGCTCATGCCTATAATCCTAATGCTTTGGGAGGCCAAAGTGGGTGGATTGCCTCAGCCAAGGAGTTTGGGACCAGCCTGGGCAACATAGTGAGATCTGTAGAAAAAAATTTTTTTAATTATCCAGGTGTGGTGATGCATGCCTGTAGTCCCAGTTACTTGGAAGGATGAGGTGGGAAGATTGCTTGAAGTTGAGCGACAGTGAGTTGTGATCATGCCACTGCACTCCAGCTGGGTGACAGAGTGAGACCCTGTCAAAAGAAAAAAAGAAAAAAAGAAAAAAAAGAAAAGAAAACATCAGCAAAACTTAAGTTAGTTTTTTTAAAGCTAAACAAAATTGACAAACCCTTACACAGACTAAGAAAAAGAGAAGATTCAAATAAATAAAATAAGAAATGAAAGAGGAGACATTACAATGGATAACACAGAAGTACAAAGGATCATAAGAAACTACTATGAAAAATTATATGTGAACAAATTGGATAACCCAGAAAAAATAAATAATTTCCTAGAAACATACAATCTACCAAGTCTGAATCATGAAGACATAGATAATCTGAACAATAATGAGTATGGAGATTTAATTGGTAATCAAAAACCTCCCAGTGAAGAAAAGCCTAGGACCAGATAATTTTACAGGTAAATTCCACCAAGTATGTAAATAATAATTAACACCAATCCTTCTCAGACTTTTTCAGAAAACTGAAGAGAAGGGAACACTTCCAAACTCATTTTATGGGGCCAGCATTACTCTCATACCCAAGTCAGATAAGGACACCACAGGGAAAGAAAATTATAGGCCAAAATCCTTGATAAACAGAGATCCAAACATCTTCAACAAAATACCAAATTCAACATCACATTAAAAATATAATACACTATGATCAAGGGGGATTTATTCCTGGATGTAAAGATGGTTTAACAAGGAAGTCAGTACATGTGATACACTACATTAACAGAATGAAGGATAACAATTCATATGATCATCTCAATAGATGCAGAAAATGCATTCAATGAAATTCAACATCTTTCCCTGATAAAAACTCTCAACAAAGTCAGTATAGAAGGAATGTACCTCAACATAATGAAACCACATATAACAAGACCACAGCTGACATTACACTCAATAGTGGAAAGCTAAAAGCTTTTCCTCCAAGATTGGGAGCAAGACAAGGGTGTTGACTCTTACAATGTCTATTCAGCGTAGTAGTAGCCAGAGTGATAGGCAAGAAAAAAGAAATAGAAGGCATTAAAATCATAAAGAAAGAAGTTAAATTGTCTCTGTTTTCAGATGACATGATCTTTTATATAGAAACCCTTAAAAAGTCCACCAAAAACCTCTTAGAACTAATAAATGAATTGAGTAAAGTTTCAGGATACAAAATCAACATACAAAAATTAGTTGTTTCTATACACTAACAATTAAGTATTGAAAAAAACTTTAAGAATCCTATTTACAATATCATCAACAACAATAAAATACTTGGGAATAAATTTAACAAAGGAGGTGAAAGACCTGTGTGCTGAAAACTATGACATTGCTGAAAGAAATTGAAGAAGACACACACAAATGAAAAGCTATCCATTGTCTATGGATTGGAAGAATTAATATTGTTTAAATGCCTATACTACCCACATATACAGATTTAATACAATCCTTATAAAAATTTCAATAACATTTTCATAGAAATAAAAAAATAGTTCTAAAATTTGTATGAAATCACAAAAGGCCATAAATAACCCAATAAATTTTGAGGAAAAAAGAATAAAGTTGAAGACATTTCATTTCCTGGTTTCAAACTACATTATGAAGTATAGTAAACAGTATGGTACTGATATGAAAACAGGCACAAAGACCAGTAGAACATAGTAGAGAGCTCAGACATAAACTCACACATACACAGTCAACTAATCTTTGACAAGAATGCCAAGAATACACAATGGGGAAAGCACAATCCTTCAATTAGTATTGGGAAAACTGGATATCCACATGGAAAAATAATTTAACTGGACTCTTATCTTACACCATACACAAAAATGAAATGGGCAAAAGACTGTAAGACCAGAAAGCATAAACCTCCTAGAATAAAACATAAGAAAAAAGCTCCTTGACATTGGTCTTAGTAATTATTTTTTGGATATGACACAAAAAGCACAGGCAACAAAAGCAAAAATTAAATAAGTGGTACTACATCAAACTAAAAAGCTTCTGCACAGGAAAACAAACAACAAAATCAAAAGAAAACCTACTAAATGAGAGACAAAATATATAAACCATATATCTGATAAGGAGTTGATATCCAAAATATGTAAGGAACTTACAACTCAATAGCAAAAAACACACATAACTCATTAAATAATGGACAAAGGACCTAAATAGACATTTTTTCCAAAGAAGACATACAAACGCCCAAGAGATGTATGAAAATGTGCTCAATATCACTAATCATTAGGAAAATGCAAATCAAAACCACAGTGAGGTATGTATCATCTCATACATGTCAGGATGGTTATGATAAAAAAGGCAAGAGATAACAATTGTTAGTGAGGGTGTGGAGAAAAGGGAACCCTAGTACATTGTTGGTAGAAATGTAAAATGGTGCAGCAGCTTTTGAAAACAGTATGGAGGCTGAGGTGGGAGGATCACTTGAGGTCAGGAGTTCGAGACCAGGCTGGCCAACATGGTGAAACCCCATCTATACTAAAAATACAAAAAAATACCTGGGTGTGGTGGTGAACGCCTGTTGTCCTATCTACTTGGGAGACTGAGGCAGAAGAATCGCTTGAACCCGGGAGGCAGAGATTGCAGTGAGCTGAGATTGCACCACTGCACTGCAGCCTGGGTGACAGAGTGAGATTCTGTCTCAAAAACAAAAACAAACAGTATGGAGGTTTCTCAAAAAATTAAAAATAGAAGTACCATATGATCCAACAATACCACTTGTGGGTATATATCCAGAAGAAATGTAATCAGTGTCTTGAAGAGATATCTACACCCCATGTTCATTGCAGCATTATGCTCAATAGCCAAGATACAGAAATGGCCTAAGTGTCCGTGGACAGATGAATAAAGAAAATGTGGTACCCCCCACCCCCACACACGTATACAATGGAATCTTATTGAACCATGATAAATGAGAGGGGAGCCCTGCCATTTGTGACAACATGAGTGAACCTGGAGGACATTATACTAAGCGAAATAAACTGAACACAGAAAGACAAGTATTGTTATGATCTCACTATATGTGGACTCTGAAAGAGTGGAACTCACAGAAGCAGAGAGTAGAATGATGGTTGCCAGGGGCTGGGGTTGGGGGAAACAGAGAGATGTTAGTTAAAGTATACAAACTTTTAGTTATAAGATAAATAAGTTCTGGGATTTAGAGTACAGCATGGTGACTATAATGAATAAAATTGTATTTTATACTTGAAATTTACTTTAAAAAGTAGATATTTGTTGTTTTCATCACACAAAAAAGTGGTAACTATGTGAGGTGATGGACGTGTTAATTAACTTGATTGTGGTAATTGTTCCAAAGTGTGTACATATATCAAGTAATCACATTGTACATTTTAAATAGACACAATTTTGATTTGTCAATTATACCTCAATAAAGCTGGAGAAAAACCTAAAATAAATAAATGTCAACCTCTTAAACAATAAAAATGTCTAATGTAGAATGGAATTTTATGTTCTTTAATTAACAGGTATTTATTGAGTAACTAATTTGTTCTACGTACTACTTTAGGTGTCAGCCATTCAACCATGAATGAAAGCAAAGTCTCTGATAGCCTGTTGTTTACATTCTAATCTAGGTGGAGGAACACAAACTATGAATAAACAAAATGCAGCCTGTCTCAGGTGGTGATATTAAATAAACAAAATATAAGCTGAATAAAAGGTGTGGGGAATGAAGGAGATTGCGATTTTATGAAGAGTGATCATGGTGCATTGGCTCATGCGTGTGATCTCAGCACTTTGGGAGGTTGAGGCAGAAGGTTGGGGATTGCTTGAGCTCAGGAGTTCAAGACCAGCCTGGGCAACACAGGGAAACTCCATCTTTACAAGAAATACAAAAATTAGCTGGGTGTGTTTGGCATGCACCTGTGGTCTCAGCTACTCAGGAAGCTGAGGTAGAAGGATCTGCTTGAGCCTAGGAGGTCAGGCTGCAGTGAGCCATGATTGCACCACTGCACTCCAGCCTGGGTGACGGAATGAGTACCTGCCTAAAAAAACAAACAAAAAAGGTGATCCAGGATACTTGAGAAGATGCCTGTTAAAACAGATTTAAAACATTCTTAATTTATAGACACTCAGTTTACAAATTAGAGGCACATGTGTTTAGTTGGTCCTGCCACTCTTCTAGCATAAATGGCTGTCTTCTCTGTTTCTGACAAAGGGCCAGCTAGCTTCCTGAATGCCGAGACTGTCTTCCAATACTTGAAACGTATGCAATTTCCAGGGATTGACTCCCCTTCTATACAAATCTCCATATTTCACAGAATTCTGATGGAATCAAAACTCAAGACTTTGGCCATAGAATTGATCAGAGTTCACGTAAAACATTTTTCACCATTGACTCACAAAGAGTCAAAATTCCTGGTAAATTTCTGCTTCCCTTGGAATTATTAATACCTATTTCCTCTACTTTGACATATTGTTTCATTTATTTTTCTGTAAGCTTCTCATTAATCAACAAACTATGCATGCAAGTGTAAAGTCTTCTCAATACATCGGCAAATCTATCTCTTCAGTTGTTTCCCTCAGAAAGTCATTCTGTCCCAGTGCAGACCACTGGGTCTCGGGGCCTGATGTGCAGTGGTCCTCCTGAGTCCTCCTTGGGCCTTCCTCCAGGAAATTGCGAGTGCAATTTTTCACTGAATCTTGTGTCTTCTTCTCTTTTGGTTTATTTCATATTTGGTGAAGCACAGCCTTTAGAAGCATACTAAGATCCCATGAATATATTTGTACCAACTGAAAATATTTTTATGCTACCCTCACACTCCATTAATAATTTGGCTGAATTAAAATTCTAGGTTAGAAATAATTTTCCATAGATCCCTGAAGGAATTTTTTTATTGTCGTCCAGCTTCCACGGTTGCTTTGGAAAAGTCAGTTACTACTTCTATTCCAGGTCTCTTTGCATATGGGCTGTTTATTTTTTCCCCGGACATTTCTAGGACTCTTTTTTTTTTCCCTGGTGTGTATTTCAAAAATAATGTCAAAATTATATAAACATGTGAAGGCATCTTTTAATTTAATGGGATGGATGCTTGATGGTATTTCTCAGGGTAGAAATCAATATCCAAGTGCCTTTATTAAATTTCCCCTTTTTTCTCTGTCCTTTCAGAAGTCCTAATATTTAGACATTGAGCACTCTGGGTTGATTTTCTAATTTCATGTCCTTTAATGTTGGCCATCTCTACCTTCTTATTCTACTTTCTGAGAGATTTACTAAGCTTATTTTTCATAGCTTCCATTCATATGTTTTTGAATTTTCTGCCATCATAATTTAATGTATAAAATATTTTTCTTACTGAATATTATTTTTATAGTTTCCTGTTCTTGTTTTAAGGATTAATGTTCTCTTATCTCACTAAGACTATTTCGGAAGTATTTTCCCCCCTCTCTGTATTGATTATGTCTTTATGGCAAATTTCCTTTCAAGTTGTTTGGTGTCTCTCTTACTTTCATGTTGCAGCTTCCCTCCAGTGTCTTTTTCTTCTTGGGCTCATCATTTCCCTTGGAGAGAAAACCTTCCATCTTCTGCCTGCAAAATATAAACTTCTCTACCAGTATCCTGGGAGCCAACTGGAGAAGGGTCTGGGATTCTTATTGTTGGTGTGCAGGCTTTCACTGAAACCTCATTTCTGAGATGTCCCCCAGTCCGGGCCCAAGAGTTGTCTGGTGTCCCTGAGTCCAGAGAATACTTGGTTCCAAACCCTTTCCAAGAGTGTCTCTTCAGTCCTCTACCAGGGTAGGGGCGTGGTTGCCTGGCATAGAATTTGGTGTTAATTACAATTCCTTTTAGAGCATAATAGCCTAAGCTCCATTATATTCTTGTATAGAGTATTCCCAATGAGACAACAGATACTGGTCTAATTCCCATTTCTGTGACCTGCTTTTTTCCCCTGGAAGCTACTGAAATGGTGTCTTCACTTTTGGTGTTCTGACGAGACTGTGTGGGTGTTGGAATTCATTCTGCTGGGGTTCTCAGAGAACGCTTTCACCCCGGAGACTCAGTCTTTCTACAGGTCTGAGAAACCTTTACTGTATCACTTCTTCAGTGTCTTCCTTTTTGCTTTCTCTGTTCTCATTCTGAAATTCCTCTTGGCTATTTTACCTCTTGCAGGGATCAACTCTGTTACTTGTTTTTTACCTCAGATGCGTTCATTTTGTTTTTTATTTTGTGTGAGGATGCTTTTATCTTTTAACCATCATATGAGATTCTTTGTTTCTTTTTATTTTTTTGAGACAGGGTCTGGCTGTCTTGCCCAGGCTGGAGTGCAATGGTGTGATCTCAGCTCACTGCAACCTCCGCCTCCCCAGTTCAAGCAATTCTCCCACCTCAGCTTCCCAAGTAGCTGGGATTACAGACACGCACCAACACGCCTGGCTAATTTTTGTATTTCTTGGTAGAGATGGGGTTTGGTTGCCCAAACCATGCTGCCTAGGCTGGTCTCGAACTCCTGAGCTCAAGTGATCCGCCTGCCTAGCCTCCCAAAGTGCTGGGATTACAGGCATGAGCCCTGCCAGATCTTTCTCGTTTTCCCATCATATTTTTTTCTCTTCCTATTTTTTTTTGTTTTGTAAATTAAGATCATCTTAATTTCTTTGAGGGTACTGATGAGAGGCTATTGTTCCTCTCAACACTTCTTTTTCTTTTATTTTTTCCTTCATCCTATGTTCTATGTTGCTATCTTTTCTTTCTCTTTCAAGTTCCACCCTTTCTCAAGTTACCTGCCCCTGTCCCGGATCAAGCATTTGTAAAGTTGACTTCAGTCTTTGTCTGTCTTGTACATGGGCAAGGGTTGTGGACTAGCAGCTTTAGATGAAATGGGGAAGTGGTGATTAAGCTTTGAGACCACTGACATGAGGATGTATTTGTTTTGCAACCAACATCCAAGCATTCTTCTTATTTATAAAGATCCATCCATTTATGGAGGGATAGTGGCATTCAATGCCTGGTTGTCAGAGATTCCTCTTGCCAGAATTGGGGTAAGGGGCAAGAAAAGTCACTGTTGTATAGTCTTTCAATTAATCTTCCTGTGTTTAGGTTTTATGTCCTATTTCTAACTCCTGTTCCTGAGTTTTGGAATTGTGAGACTCTCCAGGGCTTTCCAAGAAAGCTTTCTCTGCTGTTCTAACCTTCTTCTATTTCTTTGTACTTGTCCATATTTTTACTTATATTGTTAGAGTAGAATGCTTTTAAAACATATCATACTTTCCTGTTAGCTTAACAATAATTCTTACTAATTTTAGTTATTATTTTGGATTTTCTAGGCATATAGTCATATAACTTATAAATGATATCTCCTATTATTAATGCTTATGTTTATTTGATGCTTTCTTCTGTTTCATTACATTAGCCAGTACTTCCAAAACAATAATGACCGACAGGCTAGAATAGACACCTTTTCTTATTCCTGATTTGAATAAACATTACTAGTATTTCACTCATACGCCTGGTGTTGGTTTCAAATAGGCATCGTTTTTCTAGCTAGCTATATTATATTCATTATGATTTCTTGTGATAACATTTTCCTGGAAATATTATTGATTTAGTTATAGAATCAGGAGAAAAAGGCAGTTTCAATTCAATCCTAGAATCTTTCATTGACTCACACTGGAGATGTAGGAAAGGAGAAAAAAGGGAAGTCTTACATCGGAGGACCACTTGGTGTATGCCAGTGGGGAGATACGCATCTGCGAGACATGCTGACTTGCTGATTCATCTATGGAATTCAAATTTTCATTAATCTCCTGGGGCTGACAAGCATAACTTAAAAATTAGGGCACCATGTTTTGATCAGCTACAGAATAAATAAAGAACTGAAATCAGTTGTTTGAAAGAAATATGACTACAGGGCTTGCGTTTGATCAGCAATCTTCAAATTTTTAGGTGAATGCAATTTATCTGCATAAAATTCCTTATTTGTTCTTTGTCAATTTTTTTCTTAAAGAGTAGCAACATTCTTTAAAATGAGATTATCAAACTTTGGTTCATTAGCAGTTTAACCTCTGATAATCCAAATCAGCAATTTGTCGTCAGGTAGGGTTCCTTCTTGGAGACTGGAAAGTTTTAAGGGACCACGGGATGCTACACAGGTCCAAGAGTGGCCTATGCTCAGTATCACTCACATTTTGTTATTTCTAGGCAGAGATATTGGATATCCAGAATGACTACTCAAATACACTTCTTCCCCCTTTCTTAAGACTTCCTTGTATTGTTCCTTGGTTTTTCTGATACTCCTTTCTTTCTTCCTTCCTTCCTTCCTTCCTTCCTTCCTTCCTTCCTTCCTTCCTTCCTTCCTTTCCTTTCTTTTCTTTCTTTCTTTCTCTTTCTTTCTTTCTTTCTTTCTTTCTTTCTTTCTTTCTTTCTTTTTTCTTTCTTTCTTTCTTTCATCTCAGCTATGCAACGTGCTGTGACTGTCCTGTGTAATCTAAGCCACACTCAGGTTTGACTCATGATAGAAAGGGGGCTCTAGTTTGGACATTAAGATAAAACATGCAAAGATATCATAGGAAAAGTTTTCTGGGCTCTGGTAAAATTTTTAATTTGAATTGGCCCAAACAATCATATTTACAATATTTTGGAAGAGTCCAGAATTGAGAATATTTTCAGCCTGGGAAAAGAAGGAAGAAAAAAAACTCACAAATCTTTCTAGATTCAGTCCCAGATGGAACCCAAGCCTCCAGGTGGACTTGGACTAGACCGGGGACACATTCTCCTTTGCAGCCTTGATATTGCCATAGGAATACAACCCTCCTTAGACTATTGCTTGCCAAATTCATTCCCACCATGTTTTACTGTGATTGCCTAGGCTGTGGGCAACTTCAGAGTGTTACTTAGGTGGAGAAAATGGGAACCGTCACGCCTGGGTGCAGTTTCAGCTTCCTTCTTTGGATTTCCTAGCATGACACATGCTGAAAGGGGATCAGGAGTGTGTGGTTTCCTGGGTGTGGGTCGGAGGCCCAGGTCATTCCCACATGGGTTTTCCTTAAAGAAGCAGCAGGTGGAAAGACGGTGTTTGCCAGTCACTCCCTCATCCAGCCTCTACCTCTACCCTGCCCTTCACGAGACACGAAAGCCAAACGCCAATTCGGTGTGTCCTTGGATATTTTCCCCTTTCCACTTTGCTCAGGGGCACAAAATGCTGATGCAGTTGGGAACGGAGAAGTAAGTGATTTATAACTAAAATGGCCCTCTGCAGTGGAAGGTCTATGAGAGATGGGAGAATTTATTTGCTGAGTTACTAGGCAAATTTCACAATTAAATCTTAACTCAGCTCCTGAGGGAACATCGGGGATTACTGAAAGAAAGGGGCTTTGACTCGATTTTTAAAAAGGAAAGAGAGCAAAGAAACAGCAGAATACCCTACAGTTGCTCAGCGCAGCCCTGCCAAGCCAATCTCGCAGTGGGAATCACCACGGAGAGAATCGGAAAGGACAGGGAACAGGGAAGATGTAATTAGGGAAAATGCAAATAAACTCACTTTCTTATTTGTAAAATGGAATTAATGAATTTAAAAAAATACGCATCGCTACAGCTTGCTGTCCAGGGGGAAATCTGCTTGGAAACACACAGCCGGTTGTCTGCTTTTTGTTTTTTTTTTAAGTTCCTCCCCCTGTGTCCTGCTCCCCCTTCCCTCTGTCTGCATGTCACCCGGACTCCATGGCTGTGGTGGGTTTGCCTTTCCTTCATGGCCCCCCTTCTCCCGTCCCAGCCCCTCTTGACTGCCCAGGCCTTCGCACTTAGGGAGTTTTAGTAAGAGACTTCTGTTTTGACAGGCAGTCTCTTGGGTCTCTCCACTGAAAAGGCCAAAGCTCCCAGTGCAGCTAAAATCTTTGCCTTTAAACAGCTTCTTCCTTTCCTGAACTGCATGCAAATAGGAGGAGTCTCAGAGCTCCATCGCTCACCCAGGCTTCCTTGTGATTTTCTCAGTCCCGAAAAACCATCACTCTGTGCAAGGCTTTAGAAGGAAGCACATTCATTCCTTATACCCTGGTCCACAGAGGACTACCAGGCTGTTCTCAGGGCCTAGCTCCAAATGCATCCAGCAGCTCACCATCTTCTGCTTCACATAGGAGCAAAAGCCCTTCTTGCTTTTCTCCATGTTCAGCTAAATATGCCAAAGGCAGCTGGCTTGTCCATGCTGGCTGATAACTAACAATGCCATGACAACAACCCTCACTCATTAGTTCAGTGTCATCTTTACAAGGGAAGTGAATTTCCTTTCCCAGGAAAGAGTACAGCAGCCAGCTCTGTGCACAGGCTGGTTATTGAACAACCCGCACACTGACATACAGTTAGTTTTCTGTATCTTAGAACGGTGGCCCCCAGCCTTTTTGGCACCAGGTACTGGTTTCATGGAAGACGATTTTTCCATGGACGAGGGTGTGTGGGGGTGGTAGGAGTGGGGAATAATTTCAGGATAAAACTGTTCCACATCAGATCGTCAGGCATTACTTAGATTCTCATATGGAGCACGCAACCTGGATCCCTCGCATGCACAGTTCACAACAGGGTTCGCCCTCCTAGGAGAATCTAATGCTGCCACTGATCCGACAGGAGGCGGAGCTCAGGTGTTAATGCTCACAGGCCCACTGCTCACCTCCTGCTGTTCGGCCCAGTTCCTAACAGATGGTGAGATCATGGACCGGTACCGTCTTAGAAGATTTACAAAGTGAGGTTGAAAATTCCCAGTACTCCCAAGTACCCATTTTTAGTTCCTTTCTTTGAGCGCCTTCCCTGATAGAAGTAAGTTTGCAAATCTTGGTAAAGTTTATCCAGATTGATATTGATATTATATTATTATTAATCTTATATTGAAGGGCATTAAGTCAACTGAGATGTTATTTATGGTAACAGCAACAAATTACCATCCAAAATTTTCCTCATCCCAGGGAACACAATGAGCATTCTCTTTCAGTAAATACCATCTTTTTCCACCCCGGTTTTGGTATGAAAAATTTCATAATTATGCCTTAATGTAGATGAAGTCTCATTTTATGGTATTACTGTAAAGAAGTTTTATAGTCCAAAAAATATATTGAACATTGAACATAATTTTTTTGTTGCCATGTCTATGCTGTGTTTCTAGAGTTACTTTTTCAAAGTGCTTTCGTAAGCATCCTATCTGATGCTTCCCATAGGCCTTGGAGGCAGATGGGACAGGCAGTCTATAAGTGTATTATTTGTAACTCCTATGTGGTACAGTATATTTTTTATTATAACATAATCACTTTCCTATACTACTAAATAGTTATAAGAAAGTAGCTATTAGCCTTTTCTAAGGAATGAAAGGAAATAGTGGGAAATTCAACACAAACAGGAATAAAAGACTTCCGTTCCATGGGGAAAGGATCCCCTATTTAATAAATGGTGCTGGGAAAACTGGCTAGCCATATGCAGGAAACTGAAACTGGACCCCTTCCTTGCACCTTATACAAAAATTAACTCAAGATGGATTAAAGAAGACCTAAAACCATAAAAATCCTAGAAGAAAAACTAGGCAGTACCATTCAGGACATAGGCATGGGCAAATACTTCATGATTAAAACAACAAAAGCAATTGCAACAAAAGCCAAAATTGACAAGTGCAATCTAATTAAACTAAAGAGCTTCTGCACAGCAAAGGAAACTATCATCAGAGTGAACAGGCAACCTACAGAATCGGAGAAAATTTTTGCAATCTACCCATCTGACAGAGGTCTAATATCCAGAATCTATGAGAAACTTCAAGAAAAAAAAGAAATGACCCCATCAAAAAGTGGATGAAGGATATGAACAGATACTTCTCAAAAGAAGACATCTATGCGGCCAACAAACATGAAAAAAAAGCTTATTATCATCACTGGTCATTAGAGAAATGCAAATCAAAACCACAATGAGATACATCTCACTCCAGTTAAAATGGTGATCATTAAAAGGTCTGGAAACCACATATGCTGGCGAGGATGTGGAGAAATAGGAACGCTTTTACACTGTTGGTGCATGTGTAAATTAGTTCAACCATTGTGGAAGACAGTGTGGCGATCCCTCAAGGATCTAGAACCAGAAATACCATTTGACCCAGAAATCCCATTGCCGGGTATATACCCAAAGGATTATAAATCATGCTACTATAAAGACACATACACATGTATGTTTACTGCAGCACTATTTACAATAGCAAAGACTTGGAACGAACCCAAATGCCTATCAATGATAGACTGGATAAGGAAAATGTGGCACATATACACCATGGAATACTATGCATCCATAAAAAAGAATGGGTTCATGTCCTTTGCAGGGACATGGATGAAGCTGGAAACCATCATTCTCAGCAGACTAACACAGGAACAGAAAACCAAACACTGCATGTTCTCACTCATAAGTGAGAGTTGAATAATGAGAAGACATGGACACAGGGAGGGAACATTATATACGGGGGCCTGTCAGGGGGTGGGGGGCAAGGGGAGGGAGAGCATTAGGACAAATACCTAATGAATGTGGGGCTTAAAACCTAGATGATGGGTTGATAGGTGCAGCAAACCACCATGGCACATGTATACCTATGTAACAAACCTGAACCTTCTGCACATTATCCCAGAACTTAAAATAAAATAAAAAACATAGGCTTGTGGAATCACACACAGAACTTAAAGTATAATAATAATAATAATAATAATAATAATAATAATAAAAGACTTTCATTGCACAAAGAGACCTAAGACCTTGTTTATGCTTGGGTGCAATATGATGCACCAACCCAGTGTCCACACCACCTATTCATGGTGCGGTGGAACTGTGCCCTCACCCTTTAAACGCTTTGAATAACAGGGAACTAGAAAGCTCTCTAGTTTTTTCCAGTCTTGTGAAACACACTGGATGATTGAATTATTATTTCTTAGATTGAGCCTCTTTGTAACTTCTGGTCATTGGTCCTCCTTATTCCTCTGTTTTACCTCACACAAAGAGACCAATCCCTTATTTTATTTATTCAACCAATATTTATTGTGCATACACTACATGCCAAGCATTGCTCTAGAAGCTGGGGATGCAGCTTCTAGAACTGACAAAAATCCCTGTGTTTAGGAGACATAGTCCAATGGAGGGAGGCGGAGGAGGGGGGGTAACAAAACAAGAAACAAATGTAAGAAGATAAAAATCATAATTCTATTGAGAAAAATATAACAGGGAAGGGGACTGGCAATACTTGGTTCAAGTTTAAAGAAGGTGCTGAGGCCGGGCGCGGTAGTTCATGCCTGTAATCCCAGCACTTTGGGAGGCCGAGGCAGATCACGAGGTCAGGAGATCGAGACCATCCTGGCTAACACGGTGAAACCCCGTCTCTACTAAAAATACAAAAAAATTAGCTGGGCGCGGTGGCGGGCGCCTGTAGTCCCAGCTACTCGGGAGGCTGAGGCAGGAGAAGGGCGTGAACCCGGGAGGCGGAGTTTGCAGTAAGCCGAGATTGCGCCACTGCACTCTAGCCTGGGCGACAGAGCAGACTCCGTCTCAAAAAAAAAAAAAAAAAAAAAAAGTGCTGAGAAGACATTTGAGCAAAAACTGGGAATAAGAGATTGAGCCAGCCATGTAGACGCCTTGGTGAATCCCATTTCAGCAGGGGGACAGCCAGAGCAAAAACTGTGAAGAAAGAATGTGTCTGCCATGTGTGAGGGAGGACAGGTGGCAGGCAGGGCAGCTGGGGTGGTGTGAACCAGAGGAAGAGGGATAGAAGGAGATTCTGGGGAGGAAACTCAGGTGGGTTGGGGCAGGTGGGCTATGCAGGTTCGGTGCACCTCCGGCTCTCACCTGGAGTTGGATGGGAAGCCACTGGAGTGCTGTGGAGAAGTGGCATGATGTGACTTACGGCTTAAAAAGAGCACTTTGGCTCTTGGGTTTAGAATAGATGTGAATGAAGAAAGTGGGTCAGGCAAAAGGCAAGAAAGGAGACATGTTTAGAGGCTGTTAGAGTAACCCAGTGACTTGGGAGCAGTAGGATCTTGAAAAATTGATACATTCTGAAGACAGAGCCATCAGAATGTGGGGTAAGACAAAGAGAAGAGTTAAGGATAACTGCTGGGTTTTTAGACAGAGTCAATGAAAAGATGGAGCCACCTATTCACGCACCTGGTAAGGACTGTGGGTGAAGAAAACTATGGGAAAATAATCAGGAATTTTGTTCTGGGCATGCTAGATGTGAAATCTCTAACCCATCATCATATTTGAAATACTGGAAGACCACGGCAACGCCGAGATAAGAATCAAGTGTAGTCAGTTCTGCTATAACAGACATATGTATCCCCAAAAAATCATTGTGCCATAAAAAATTGCACAGTAAAATCCACAAGGCTTATGGAGAAAGTAGGGTTGGGGCATAATACTCAAAACCTTTTTCAGTGATACGTCAAAAATAAAAGTACAGTTTCATACATGTTTCATGCTTATGGAATACATAAATACAATAAATACAGCCCTTTGCCCAGAAAAAAACAAAACAAAACTGGAAGTTAGCTTGTGGAATCAGGCTTTGGAAGAACTGCACTGTGTTGAGTTATTGTGAAGTGGTCGAAGGAGGGCTCTCTGAAATTAGGTGGAAAGTTGTAGAAGCAGATGTGGATGGGTGTGGTTCATTGTTCTTGGTTCAGTCTTGGTACTGAACATCAGAGTAGAGCCATCTTTTGCGTGCTGAAATTCTGGGGCATATTTTTCTGCCATTGAGATGAAAGTCCTTCAAGGTATGCATTTAAAGGGATATCTGTTTCATCAAAACTAGGAATGTGATGCAGCTTATAGCCTTCTTCTTTAATTAACTTCTGGAACACTGCTGGAAATTCCTTCATGGATTTGAAATCGTAGCAATGTTTTTGAAACCACTAAACAGCCACTACTGACATCAAAAGGGCCACTTTTGGACTTGGCAATTTCTATGAAAGATCTTCGAATACAGATAGTGCTTTCTTTTTTGCAGGCACGGCTTGGCATTTTGAGCCAGGACACACAGAGTGTTTAGGATGCTCAATGAGTGTGTATTTTTTGTTCTGCTTTGCTTTTGTGTTTTGTTTTCATGAAAAAGCTCACAAACATGAGAGAATTACAGAACGTAAGCAGGAGTCTAACAGCGAGAACGCATGGACACAGGGAAGGGAACAGCACACACCGGGGCCTGTTGGAAGTTTGGGGATGTGAGGGGGACAGCATTAGGACAAATACCTAATGTATGCAGGGCTTAAAACCTAGATTATGAATTAACAGGTGCAGCAAGCAATCATGGCACATGTATACCTATGTAACAAACCTGCATGTTCTGCACATGTATCCTGGAACCTAAAGTAGAATAAAATAAAAAACATAGGCTTGTGGAATCACACACACTGTAAGCCAGAGTGGCTGATAGATGGTGGAGTTGTGGGCATGTGTATTTCTATGCAGTTCAGTTCAGCTGCATGCAGTTTGCTGTTCTCAGGGACAAAATTGAACATCAGCAAATGCAAAATTCACGTTATGCTTGAATTGTTCCCTGGTGTATCCATTGCACTGGAACAAATGCACAATTTCAGAACTAGTGTTATGGAAGACTTAACTATACAATAGTAACATAGGAAAATTTTTAAATACTGAAAATTTAAATTGTGTAGAAAGCAAACTTAACAGTGTTTTTTTTCTTTTTATTTTATTTTATTTTATGATTATACTTTAAGTTTTAGGGTACATGTGCTTTTAATCTCTGGTATAAGCTTGTTGTAGAAGAGAGGCATCTGTGGTTTAAAGCCAAAGGTAGCTTCAGTGGGATGTCAGCCTGTGGGAATAGAGATGAGTGAGAAATCTGCATTCGACATTGCATGGTACAAGAATTCCAGTAACTCCCGGTCTCAAAAGGAACATACCCTGGAACAGAGTCCTGGGCAGCTAAGAAGGCTCCCCTGTCAAAGGCATCTCCCATGGCCTCCTGGCTCAGCAGGGCTGAGGAGGAGGGATCGCTTAGTAATTGCTTGTGCTGTACGGACCTTTACCTTGACACTAACTGGGCACATTATCATAGGCTCAGAGGCCCAGCACCTAAATGAAATGTGGCTCAGCTCACAAGGAGCCTGGGCCTCGGCAAAGCAGAATCACATATCAAAATGAAAACTTGGTCCCATATGTCTTTAAACCCATGACGGTTACTGCTGATATGATACTGCAGGGGAAAATGACTTAGATTTCTGTTGGGTAGATGGATTTTTGGGGTCTCTCTGTGCAATTTTCTTTAACATAGTGGGGTCTTTGTCACTGTAATGAAAACTGCCTTCAGCTGAAAGGAAAAGAGAGAGAAAGAGAGAGAAACAATAGAAGCCTAGAAGCAGAATTTTCCAAATAAATTAAACAACTTTTGAGACATAAGATTTATATTAGAAACACTGATAAAACCTTATCCTTGAAGGTGTGAAGATCTAGGCTCTTAAAATTAATGTAAATAGCAGTATTACTGCTGCAGGCATCCACTGAGATCTTGGAGTGTATGAAAAGACATGTCTCAAAAGAGAGACACAAAAGAAAGGGTCACATCTCATCAAGAGTGTTTGCAAAGTCTTGGGGAAATTTGTGCAGTTTGAATAATAACACCTTGCACTCTTACTTCTTCATAGATAGCACATAAAATGAAGCATAAAGAAAAGAATAAACAGAGATCATTTTGTGCCTGTTCATTTCCATGAGCAAATGTGGATGTCTCAGCATGTGTGAACCCCGAGTTCTGTGGGTTAGCCTAAGCCCAGGGCTCAAAACCAAGAGGTCTGAGACTCACTCTTAGCCAGTCATAGACATGACCTGTGCTGGGCCTCCTACCTACAAATATAAAACCATTCACCTTTCAGGTTTAGCGGTAAGATTAGATGAATTGATGTGTAGGAAAATATTTTTGAAGTAATAATATGTTGATTGAAGATTATTATTAACGTGGGAACAGGGAAGGAGGGAAAATGGTGAAGGAAAGAGGAAAACTGTTTGAGTTCACCCAGTTCCCGTGGGAAATGTGTTTTGCTAGTGGGGTGACTGGGACGGCAGGGTATGTGAGTAACAGAGAAAGACAGCGTGCACATGTTCAAGTGCTTATAAATGCAAGGAGGACAACCCTTTATTAGGCAGGAGATATGCTGAGTTTCAGGTTTACATTACCAGGAGACTTGGAAAAGTTGAAACTCAGCCTAACTAGGGCTGCCAATGGCCTCTAATGAAAATTTCCATTTGGAGAGACTAGATGTTGACTTGGCATGACACCAAACAAGCAGCCTGCTGCAGAATTTTACACCAATTGTATTTCTCCTAATTAAACCCTGTCTGACCTCAGCATTAAGAAACAATTTGTTTCAGGATATAACCAGCACACATAAGCAATTACATTCTGTTTGCCCCATTAGCATTATTTGGCTCCTTTGCTATCCAGGGCTGCTACTGCAGCAAAAGCCGCCCATGAGCCAGAGCTATAAAAAGCCTGGAGCGCTCAGAGGCTTTTTCCACCCCCCATATGAAGAACTAAGAATATCATCATATTTCAGCCAAGCCAAAGATTCTGGGAACAGTGTGCTTCTGTGTTTATTATAAGGGAGTGTCTATATATATATATATATATATATATATATATATATGAATATTTCTTATGAGTTAAAAAAAACTCTACTTATAAAAAACCTGAAGAAACTATAATAATCTAGGTTTATAATAATCTAAGCTTATCTGATATGTTATGTTTCATGTTCCTGTTCAGCTATACCCCTTATACTTTAACTTTTTTGTAGCTCTTGGACTTGAATTTTGGAGTTTAAAAGGAACACACATTGGGTCCCGAAAAGTTTTTGGGGTGGGGGCATATGTTCTTTTATAAAAGAGGCATCATATCCATATAACAGAGAGAGAAATGAGAGAAAGACCTTCAAACCTGACAGCTCTCCCCAGACCCCACTGGTAAAGTTCATTCCAGCGGTAGGAGCTCTGGAGCTGGGGCCAAGAAGGGGGCTTTGTCCTCCAGGCCCTGCTGCTTTCATCTCCTGTATCTCAAGCTCATCCCCTACCTCTGAGTCTCTGTTTCCTCTTCTGTAAAATGAATCAGATGAGACGAGGCACGGTGGCTCATGCCTGTAATCCCAGAACTTTGGGAGGCCGAGGCGGGCAGATCACCAGGTCAGGAGATCGAGACAATCCTGGCCAACATGGTGAAACCCTGTCTCTACTAAAAATACAAGAATTAGCTGGGTGTGGTGGTGCACGCCTGTAGTCCCAGCTACTTGGGAGGCTGAGGCAGGAGAATTGCTTGAACCCAGGAGGTGGAGGTTGTAGTAAGTCGAGATCGTGTCACTGCACTCTAGCCTGGCAACAGAGCGAGACTCCGTCTCAAAAAAAAAAAAAAAAGAAAAGAAAAAAGAAAGAAAGAAACAGATGATACCTGAGGTGTTTCTTTGGTTAGGTTACTATTGAGATTAGTCGAATCCTAGGTTCTGTTTATCCTTGGCCCATGAAAGTCACAGAGCACTGACTCGCCATTAGAATGTTCTTTATTCTAACTTCCTTCTGAACCTTTTCTTTGCAAACTTCTGTCTTCTGCCATCCTCGATTTGGGAGCTGAAGTGGGACAGTTAGGAAGGAGGTTGCAATGTATTCCATGTAGGAAGGAGATAGATAGAAATGAGAAAATAATTCCATGTAACCTATTGGGGGAAGCAAAAGAGCGGATGTTTGTTCTCAGTTTTTATCTAATTTTGACCTCTAGTGCCTTGGAAAAAAAATTACCATTGGTTTCTCTCCTTTACTTTTTCTACCTGTAAAATGGGAATAAATCCATCTCCCTTCTTTTTATTTCACAGAGATATGGCAGGGTTGAGCCAGGTCGCCAACTAAGGGCTTTAAGCATCTCCCAATGCAGGTGCTATTGAATGCAGTGTGATTCACTTCTGTGTGCTATGGCAGGTGTGTCAGGACAGTATTGTGACATGCACTCTTCAGAGCACAGTTTCTCTCTGTGAATCAAGAGCACCTTCTTTTGGCAGCTAAGTCTCATGAGCCTTAGAAATAAAGGTACATTTCAGCATTGAATCAAACTTACAGAAGACTGAGAATAAAGAATCAGTGCCTATTGACCTTCCTAAGCCATAAGGATGAGTGTCTGTCCCTTTCTTCTGGCAGGGTTGAAGCCCACTGTCACAGTGTGGCCTCATCACAGTGGTCTTCACTAAGTCCTTAGAAAGGCATGGTGCCAAGGTGGTGCACGCGTGCACACACACACAGCAGATGTGCGCTCACAAATGCACACGTGTGACAGATACACTCATTTTGAGGTATAGGGTCTGGAATGTAGGGAAGTAAGAGCCATACTTTGAAATGGGAATCTTGTACATGAGTTCCATCTCAGACATTTACTAGCCAAAAGGCTTGGGCAAGTCCTTTATTGTCACCTGGTACCAGCCTATGCACATTTAATTTCGCAGATACCATTATCTGCATTTTGTTTTTTCTCTTACGTATTTCTCATAAGTCAAAGGTACTGACATACCTGCTTGTACTAAACAGTTGGTACATCAGTGATTCTAAAAATTTAGGAATCCTCTGAAGCATTTATGAAAGTGAAGATTCCCAGATTCCCTTAGAGGTTTTCACAGCTGGCATGGAGTCCAGGAATTTGCATTCTTAACATTCAATCCTAGTGAATTTGATGTAAGAGCTACTTCTAAAATACACTAGATGAACATATAAGGCACACAGAACACTTCCTGACACATAGTAAGCATTCGGTATATATTTATTGACTCCGTGCATAGATGGCAGCCTAGTCTATCCATATCAAGAAAGACTACCTGCCCAGTAGGTCTTATAAAAGCTTACTTGTTGTGTTCTCTGTTCGTGTAAATGACGAGTTAATGGGTGCAGCACACCAACATGGCACATGTATATATATGTAACAAACCTGCACGTTGTGCACATGTACCCTAGAACTTAAAGTATAATTTAAAAAATGTAAAAAAATAAATAAATAAAAGCTTACTTGTTGGGGTAACTCTATCTAAATTTCAAGGTGTCTGTTTTCTGTTAGGAGGAGAAGGAAGGTGAAATTGCTAAGAATCAGGGTGGAAAGCCCTGGAACCTCAAAGAAAACCCATGACAAGAAGATCCTCTGACAAGCTTTAGGGTGAAGCATCCACTTCTTGATACACATTGCCTGCTCTCTGTGTGCTTTTCTGGGTTCTGGTTTTGACTTCGCATTCACAACTCTGAGGCTGATGTCTACCCCTTCCTGTTCTTGGCATCTACAACTATAATTGATCTTACTTTTCTCCTTTGTTTCTGCAATTCCTTGCCATTCACTTCTTTTTGTAACATCTCACTAATATTGAGCTGGTTTTGCCATAAACTACTTAATGACTAGTGAATTAACTAGCTATCTAGATAGAGTTGACAGTAACAAACAGGATGCTCGGTTAAATATGAATTTCAGATAAACCAGTTATCATTGTAGTATAAGTGCGCCCCAAGTATTGCGCAGGCCATATTTATTATATTTATTAAGGCAATTATTTTTGGTTCATCTGAAATTTGAATGTAACTTGGTGTCCTTATTTGCTAGATCTGGTAGACCTACCTCTGGGAAATCTTGCTTTGTACCTCTGGTTCTTGTTAACCTCTTATTCCCGGTTTTTCAAGTTAGCTGAGCCTAGTGGTGACTTATTTTGCCTTATCTTTTGATATCTGTATCTACTGTAAGTTTTCATCTTTGTATGTTTCTAGTCTTTCAATTTGCATATTCCTACTGCAAATTGAAACAGAAATTTCTTATTGCCTTTCTGGGTTTTAATCCATGATTTCTCTCTAGCCAGTAATGCCTGGACTGGAGACTGTTCCAGGTCCATTTCTGGTTTAACACAGTCTCTAAAATATACTAGGGTGCTCTGGTGCAGGTTTCCTCCCTCTGACTTCTACCTGTCTCTTAGTTCTAGAAAAACACAGAAGGAGGTTAGAAGCAGCACTCTAGTTGCAAAAGGGGATGAAAGCTACAATGGTGCAGCACTTAATAGGATTCTGGCTTAGTGATGGCTGCTCCTAAACAGGAGGGCTCACAAATACACACAGGGATGCCCGTCCTTCAGTTCTGTTTCTTACGTCTTGGAAATCAGGAAAGGAGAACCTGGACATCAGTGGAAGATCTTTTTCAAAATCTCGCAGGTGTCTCTTTTCCACTTTTTTATTTTTATTCTTCTGACTCTTGCCATCTATCTTATTTTTTTCATCTCATCACAGCCTCTATCATTTCACATTTTCTTTATTCATTTTTAATATGTCACATGTATGTGATCCATATAAGACTTTGTAATTTGTTATATATTTTCTTGCTGTCAGAGACTATTCTGTTTTTAAATAATAATAATAGCCAGTATTTTTTCAGCATATTCTACATGCAACAACCATGCCAAGCATTATATTATCTACATTATTGCATTCTGGTCTTGTAACACTCTTATCTTCAAGATACAGCAAAAGAAAGGCAGATGCATAAAAGCTAAATTATTTGTGCCAATTGACATAGTTTGGTGAAGCCAAAATTTGAACCCAGCTTTCACTGATATCACAGTTCTGCTTTTAACATTATTATGTACTTTCCTCCATGTGACATATACACAATTCTAAGACAAGCTATACTCCTTCATAGTTGGGGTTATAAAAAAAAATTCAGCTGTAGTCTGGGTTTGGAAATCCGAACTAGAGAAACCCATAGCAAGCTTCTTCCCTTCCTTGATTTCTGCCACTCCTTCATAGTTGGGGTTATAAAAAAAAAATTCAGCTGTAGTCTGGGTTTGGAAACCCATAGCGAGCTTCTTCCCTTCCTTGACTTCTGCCATAAACCTTTCCTTGCCATACTTTTTTGACCCTGTGATCTCTACCTAGCACCATTCCTGCAATCCCTCACTCATACCTACACCTGGGATGGTATCAACTGCTGTCCCAATCATTGCTGGATATTTTTTATTAGGTGTAACTGAAATAAGCTCCCCTCCAAAAAAAGGATTTTCCCCTCCATTATGGGACTTATAAAATTCTTGAGAATCAGATCTAAATTTGGAGCAGTGAACCTGCTGAGACAGCTCACGTCAGTCTGGAATGTTTGTAAGGTAATGGGATTTTGTTGTAATTCTACCAAAGTAAAAAAACAAAACAAAACAAAGCTTTTCCCTGTTTCATAAGCACTACTTCTGGAAGAAATTAGCCCTAGATCTACCCTGATGGGAAGCATGATAAGGGTGGGGATGGGCTAGGGTTGCATTTACCAAATTACTGTCCTAGCCCAAATCTGTTTGCATTTGCCCTTTCTCTGCTCAGAGGGTTATCCTGCTTCCAAGAAGCTGTGTGATTTGTTGACTTTGCTTGAATCAAGGAAGGGTGGGGAATGTCTAAAGTCACAAGGGTATTTTATTTTTACTACTAAAAATTTCTCAGTGAAAAATGCTGCTATAGACTTGCATGCTGGAAAATAATGCTGAAACATCTTGCATATTTTCCAGGGAGTAATCTTTATATTTGGGGTTCTTACTGTTTAAAAGCTGAGGGACTTATTACTCTCAAGGGATAGTGCAGCATGTGCTTTTAAAATGCCCTTCAGGACTTGCCTTTCTGGGTAGCTCCAGATTTAGATGTCAAAGCCCAGCATGAAAAGAGCATGTGTGATTTGTAAAAACCAAGATGCAGAAAGCTTTTAGGAAGCAATAGTGTTTGCTTATTAAACACACACACATGAGTGCATATGCATACACACACACTCTCTCTCCTTCTCCCTCTCTCTCTCAAGATGTGGGTATGGCCATGCATCCCTTTTAGTTTCACTGTGTGAGCATCACAACCCGAGGACAGGTCTGCGATTTGAAAACAAAAACAAAGTCTCTAATGACTTCTCTGGCATTTGAACTCATGATCCGAATTTGCTTGAAATTGGCAGGATGTCCAGATTCCTATGATTAGATCCTCCCTGGTGATACAGCAGAAGGTGAAAGCCAGGCTTTGAGTGATGCATGGAAAGATCCATCACTTCTTAAGTGCCGTTATCCTTACCCAGACATTTTAACATTTTTTCTAGTTCATCGTGGACATAGCTCTTGGGGGATGAGGAACTAGGCAGGAGTTCACCTGGGAAAAGTCATGATCCAGTTAGGTAATTAGAAGAAAGAAATATACCCAGTTAGGATCTGAGGAGGAAGAGTTTTGTGTAAAAACCACAGGGTGGGACCTGACACATGGTAATTGAAGGAGGCAGAAAAACATACTGGTTAAGGGCACTGGCTCTGGGCACATGCTGTC